>NC_000012.12:75338915-75490431 GCF_000001405.40 Homo sapiens | reverse complement strand
ACTTTGTAACTATCTGCCCAAACAACCTGAAAGGAAATAAGGATTTTTAACAGAGAAAAACCATAAGATAAACATTGGGTATGATTAGGTCTTCATAAACATGGTGAGGTATACCACTCTAGTTAGAGTGCTTAAAACCCAGGAAGGTTTAGATACTCAGAAATCAGCTGGATAGACCTGTAGTTACCATTATTGGGGTGTGTGTGTGTGTGTGTGTGTGTGTGTGTGTGTGTGTGAAATAAGATAATTTTTGACAGTACAATGAAGAAATAAAACGGTAATGCAATAGGGAGTGATTGCTGGCAAGGTGATGCTGATTTTACTTGGGTGTTCAGAGGAAGCATTTGAACTGAGACTTGGACGACGAGGATGCAGCACTCAGGACAAACATTCAGGAAACTTAAACAATGGAGGAAGAGCATTCCAAGCAGAGGGAACACCAGGGAGAAAGGCCCTGAGATGGAATTTGCTTGGCATTATAGATTGGCAGGAAGAAAGCAAGTGAAGCCAAGATCTGATGAGTTGGAGAGAGTTGTAAGCAGTGAGGTCAAAGGCAGAGAAACCGATCAGGGAGATTCTTGTGAGTGCTATGTTCTTTTTCATGTCTTAGGTCACGAAGTGAACGGACTGAGAAGAGCAAGGGGAACAGGAAGCAGGTAATTTTGGAGGCTGTTTCAGTGGTACAAGAATGAAAAGATAGTGACTCACACGTGGGTGATGCCAGTGGAGCTCCCAAGAATGAATCAGGTTCATGGCTCAGCTTAGAGGTAAAGTTAAAAGGATTTTGAGTGTAGGGTAAGAGGGGAAGAGATAAAGTTTTGGTTTGGGGCCTGAGAAACATTTACTGAGATGGAGAAAACTAGGGAAGGAGGAGGGTAGGTGGGAGCGTGGGCAGGGGTTTTGTTCAGAATATGTTGATTTTGAGAGGCCTATTAGATATCAAGTGAAGATTAACTTGGTGGCTGCAGTCCAGAGGACAGGGTAAGGCTAGAGATGTAAATCTGGAAGACATGGAGCAAGATTAGATCACACAGGCAAATATAATAGATCAAGTAAATGAGAGTCTGGAATAATGAAAGCAAACACAAAACCAGCCTGCAAAACAGACTGAAGGAGTGGTCAGTGATGTAGGAGGGAAACCAAGAACAGAGAGACCTGCGCTGTTACATGGGATCCAGCACTCAAAAGAGCCCCATGCTTGGTTTAGATCAGTGCTGTCACATATTTTAGCACCTTTAGTGGTGCTTTTCTTTTGCTTTCTGAACAAAAGATTCCACATCATTTTGCAATGGGCTCCACAAATTCAATTATATAGCCCATCTTGACCAAGAGTGTTTGGTGTCACAAAAGCCTAAAGAAGAGAGTATTTAAAGGTGGATACAGCCAGCAATTAAATGCACTCATTTTTACAGCAGTACCAAATTACATTTTAAATTATTTTTTACTCATAAGTTTTTGAGCAATTTTGTCATAAGAACTGTGCCAAATACATTCAAAATTGAGTGAGCTAGAACCAGTGGGTACATTCACAAAACTTAGAAAAAAAGCAGTCATGAAACTCATCAGGTGAGGGTTTGACCACTGTGAATAGGCAGTGGAAGATGCTAAGGGCATATATGGCATGGTGCCTTTCTCTGAAGAAATGAGGTGGAGCTGGAGCTGGGATGAGCTGGTCTGGAGTCTTCCAGCAGAGGGCAACATCCTGTGTGATCCCTGGGTGGGACTGACCCATTCACAGAACTCAAAGAAAAGCCAGTGTGGCTGCAGAAAATGAAGAAGTTTACTTTAAAAATAAATGAAATTTACTCCCTGTATCAGGTGTTTGAACTAGAGCAACTCCATCTTGGTGTTGTGTTTTTTTGTTGTGGTTTTGTTTTTTTGTTTGTTTGTTTTTGAGACGGAGTTTTGCTCTTGTTGCCCAGGCTGGAGTGCAATGGTGCAATCTCGGCTTATTGCAACCTCCGCCTCCCAGGTTCAAGCGATTCTCCTGCCTCAGGCTCCCAAGTAGCTGGAATTACAGGCATGTGCCACCATGCCCGGCTAATTTTGTATTTTTAGTAGAGATGGGGTTTCACTATGTTGGTCAGGCTGGTCTCAAACTACTGACCTCAGGTGATCTGCCTGCCTCGGCCTCCCAAAGTGCTGGGATTACAGGCGTGAGCCACCATGCCCGGCCCTAACAACTCCGTCTCGAATAGGGGCTGGGTAAAATGAGGCTGAGACCTACTGGGCTGCATTCCCAGACGGTTAGGCATTCTAAGTCACAGGGGAGATAGGAGTTTGGCACAAGATACAGGTCAAAGACCTTGCGGATAAAACAGGTTGCAGTAAGGAAGCCAGCTAAAACCCACCAAAACCAAGATGGCGATGAGTGTGACTCTGGTGTCCTCACTGCTGCACTCCCACCATGACAGTTTACAAATGCCGTGGCAACGTCAGGAAGTTACCCTGTATCGTCTAAAAAGGGAGGGCATGAATAATCTGCCCCTTGTTTAACATATCATCAAGAAATAACCATAAAAATGGGCAACCAGCAGCCCTCAGGACTGCTCTGTCTATGGAGTAGCCATTCTTTTATTTCTTTTCTTTCTTAATAAACTTGCCTTCACTTTACGGACTCACCCTGGATTTTCTCGCGCGAGATTCAAGAACCCTCTCTTGGGGTTTGGATCCCGACCCCTTTCCTGTGACACCTGGAGGGAGAGTAGGAAGTGAGGCAAGAGGGGAGCTGAGGTTGGAGTCTCAGCTTCTCCAAGATTTAAAGGTGTGGTAGAAGTGGGGACGTGACTAGGGAGATGATGGGCAGAGTGTGGGCTGCCTTCTCCTTGGTTTGGCAACTGGAGAGGGTACCCTCCTTTGGCAAGGGCGAGTGTACTTCCCTACTCCATGATCTAAAAGGGGTGCTCCCTAGAAACATTTCTTTATCCCCAGGAACCCCCTGCGGGGAACTCCAGCCTGAACAGGCAATGAATCAGCTTAGGCCTCTGTCTCACTGCGAAAGCCCAGTTTTATAAGGGTTGTTAATCCTCAGGTTTGATCCTTAAACTTCTACTTTCTAATCAGTTTTGTTTTATTTTTAAAATTTCTTAATTTTATTCTATATCTCAAGTGATTTTATGTGGGGTCCTTTGTTTAAAATGATCTTGGGCCTGTCCCAGACCTACTGAATGCCAGTCACTGGAGTTGCTTTTGGGGTCTGCATTTTAACAAGTTCCTCAGGTAATTCCTATGCATGCTGTGTTCAGTGTTGTCTTTATTCCTTTATTGTCACCTTGGCTCATTTTATATTTTTATCCTTTGGTCTTCCAGCACTTTCTTCTGTAGCGTTGTTATATCAAAAGTATTCTTAATCTTTGGATCCCTTCCCCATTTTAATACTTTTTCCTCAGAAGTGTGCAAATGTTAGTTACCATTCATTTTGTGTGTTTTAGTTGGCCTCTTTTTTTAAAAGTCAGGTTTATTAGGGTATAATAAAGATACAATAACATTTATGATTTTTAGATGTACATTTCTATGAATTTTGACAAAAGAATACAGTTGTGTAGCCACTACCACATTCAAGATATAGAATATTTTTATCGCCCCAGAAAGTTCCCTTGAGCCCCTTTGTGGTCAACCCCCACCAGACCCCAGCAGTCATTAATCTGTTTCTGTAGTTTTGCCTTTTCCAGAATGTTATATGAATGGAATCAGTCTAAATATAGCTTTTTGAATCTGGCTTCTTTCACTTAGTATAGGCATTTGTTGTATTCATTTGTAGTCACTGCTTTTTATTGCTGAGTAATATTTATTACGTGGATGTAGCACAGTTTATCTATCCAAGTCAGTCTCTTTTTAAAAGCTTCATGGGCACTCTGGTTTTTGGTTAAACTTGTGGGCTTTGGAGCCACAAGGCTTGAGTTCATATTCAAGCTTTGCCACTTACAGTGTGACCTTGGTCTTAGGTTCCTTATCTATTAAATGAGGATAATAACAATACCAACTCCATAGGCCTATTTTGAAGTTTTAAATGAGCTTCTGGAACATAGCAAGCACTCAGCAAATATTCTTGTTTCATTCCCTTACCACTAAGTTTCTTAGGCTTAAAAATTCTTAACACTTTAATTTTTTTTTTTATCAGGCAGGTTTCTGTTGTATGTTTTCTTACTGTAGTAAACAAAAAACCATAATTATAAGCGCTACTCATTTTTGAGAACTTAGGTGTATCATTAAGCATTTTACATGTGACATCATGTTTAATCCTTATAAAGTGTTATTGCTCTTCCTTTTGTAGGTAAAAGATTGGAACCTAATTCTGCCTGGCCATGAAGTACTGTGAGGACAGTCCATGCCCTCAGCAAGATGCTTTTAGAGTGTTTTCTCTTTTAGCAAGCTCTTCAGAACCAGGAACCACTCTTTATACCTTTCTTACAAAAGCACTGCACCTGGGGAACCCAGAGGGAAGGAAGATGTCTCCCTTATAGGCCCACAACCCCTTCCTACCATCTTTCCCTTTCAATTCTCGGTATGAGCTCTTCTGGTTCATTATCGGGAGTATGGTAACATTGTAACATATATGAAACCTACTACAGAAATTGTGAAACAGGTCACATTTCCATGGTTCTATGCGAGTATAAAAATAAAGCTGGCCGAGGCGGGCGGATCACGAGGTCAGGAGATCGAGACCATCCCGGCTAAAACGGTGAAACCCCATCTCTACTAAAAATACAAAAAATTAGCCGGGCGTAGTGGCGGGCGCCTGTAGTCCCAGCTACTTGGGAGGCTGAGGCAGGAGAATGGCGTGAACCCGGGAGGCGGAGCTTGCAGTGAGCCGAGATCCCGCCACTGCACTCCAGCCTGGGCGACAGAGCGAGACTCCGTCTCAAAAAAATAAATAAATAAATAAATAAATAAATAAAATAAAGCTGTCAAGAGGGTGAGAGGAGGAGGCAGGAAGAGAAAAACTAAAATAAGATCAGTAGCGCCATCTAGTGAGAAATCCTAGCACTATCAAATCCAAGTAATCCTCTACCCTGCCCAGATACTTTAATTAAACTATTTCTAAACTTTATAAAGCTGAACTGTCAGCAACAGAATGTCGAATTTGAGTCATCTTCCATTTTATACACCAACATTTTTTCTCAATGCCAGTCTATCTCCAGTGAAGACAAAGCTAAAGTGTTGAATGAATACATCAAGAAATATCATACATTTTGTGAGGAGTTAATGGGCCTGAATCTATTTTCTTTATTCTGTACAACCTCCCATCATCAGCCAAAATCTGCAAATAGCTCGATTTTTGAAGAGAAGATGAGGATAAGTAGGAGGTTGTAATATCCACTTAAAGTAACTGTTCAGCATGAATTTAACACAGCAATTGAGTAGTTTTGAGTCCCCCAGGAAGATTTCTTGTCATGATGAAAACAGTCTTTCACCTAGCTATCAGATCCTTCTTCCATTATGATTGTTGGAAAACCAGCTTATGTAAGGATCTACCCTTTGTTCAATGCCTACTAAATACTAGTATTTTATTAGGTAATGTATACATATTTTATTTGTCAGGCCTCTGAGCCCAAGCTAAGCCATCATATCTCCTGTGACCTGCACGTATACATCCAGATGGCCTGAAGTAACTGAGGAATCACAAAAGAAGTGAAAATGCCCTGTTCCTGCCTTAACTGATGACATTACCTTGTGAAATTCCTTCTCCTGGCTCATCCTGGCTCAAAAGCTCCCCCACTGAGCACCTTGTGACTCCCACCCCTGCCAGCCAGAGAACAACCCCCTTTGACTGTAATTTTCCATTACCCAAATCCTATAAAACAGCTCCACCCCATCTCCCTTCATTGACTCTCTTTTTGAACTCAGCCTGCCTGTACCCAGGTGATAAAAAGCTTTATTGCTCACACAAAGACTGTTTGGTGGTCTCTTCACAAGGACGCAAGTGAAATTATTATTTAAGCCTTCCAACATATCTAATATCTGAACCTCAACTCTTCATCTTACTAGCTAAATGACATCAGGGGAACAACTTATTAACCTCTCTAAGTCTGTTTATTCACCTGTGGGTAATACCATTAACATCTCCTTAATAGATTTGTGGTAATAATTGAATGAGGTCTTCAGTGTAGAGAGCTAAACACTATGCCCATTTAAAAAGTGATTGCTGCTGCTCTATCTTCCCAGCCCAGGGGGTTCTTGGACATTCTCCCCGTGATGAGTGCCCCTCTTCTGAAGTGGGGGTAGAATGTAGTGGTTTCTTAAAGAGGATCACTCATGTTAGGATCACTGAGCTTGGGTTTTAATATCTGTATGTATGGGACTGGGTTTTAGAAAATGAATTTTCTCATGACCAAAATATTAGTCCTCCTTTTTTCCCTTAGATGTAAGGGGAAATTTTACAAGTAAGCTCAGTTAATTTTGGGAGGGCCATCTGTGAAATCTCAGGCATTTATGGCATAAACTCAAATGTTCTCTTCTTTCGATTTCCTGGAATGGTGAACATGGAGTGTCTTAACTTGTGTATTGAGCATGGTTTAGGAGTCTGTTGTCAATTTTACAGTCTTTTGACCTCTATATATTTGGCATGCTGAGCTTCTTGCCATTGATCTAAAGTACCAGGCCCATTCATACACATTGTATACTTTCCACACCTTGCTGAGAATTCTCTTCCCTTTCCTTTTCATCTGAAAAATTCCCACTCAGTTTTCAAGTACCAATTCACATGTCTCCAGCAGTGTGAAGCTTTACACTTCCTTTTGGCCGGATAAGTTGCTCATTCTGTCCTCCTTGCTCACATGGCACTTTGTCAGCTTCTCTAAATTGTACTAGCCAAACACTGTCATAATCCATTTACACATAAGTCTCTCCCAAAAGGTCAATTTCTGAGGGCCAGGGACCATTTCCAGCTGTATTTCTCCTCCTTCCCTGGCTCATTCCCTATTTCTCCTCACTTCCGCTTCTCCAAGATTGTATCCCAATAAAATGTTAGCTCATAAACTATTGTCTCAGGCTCTGTTTTCCAAGAATCTGGACTAAGACATATCACTAGTGCCTGTTATAGGGTAAAAGCTTAAACACTGACTAATAAATAAATGAAAGTAGGCACCCTCAAACTGACAATTATTTCTGAGTATTTAAATACCGCAATGCATAACAGTACAAGTACCACTTGTAGGCTATCTAGATTTAGCTTTCTACTCCCCTAGGTCTTGTTGGAATCCAAGGAAACTTATTTCCTGGTTAAATTTATTTGTAAATGTAAACCAAAATTGTTAGTTTATGAAGTAAATTTAGGAGAAATTCATTTTACTCTTATAATAATTTTTTGTAACTGCACCAAACTTGGTTCATCTGTAGCACCACGAATGAGATCACAGGCTTTGTAAGGCTGAGCTGGAGTAAGGGAGGTTTTCTTACACCATGTTGTTCCTTAAAACCACCTAATGTTTCAATGTAACTGCCTTGATAGAAACGTTTTTGCCTTCATACCTCATTTCAACTGATTTTTTGTGCCCCAAAACAGTCAATTATAGGTTAAGTACCGTACGTTATTGGTTTGACAAGGATGGCCAGGAAGTGACAGTAAATAAACAAAATGTAGCCAGGACAGGAAGGCAGCGTCTGAAGACAATTATGACAGATGCTCCCTAGAGAGTTGTTTCCATCATGCTGCAAATGTGAGGTAGGGTTAGGGAGCCAGAATCAGCTTGAGTAAAAATTAAAAAAAAAAAAAAA
Source organism: Homo sapiens (assembly GCF_000001405.40). NCBI lineage: Eukaryota > Metazoa > Chordata > Mammalia > Primates > Hominidae > Homo > Homo sapiens. The sequence goes on along the minus strand of NC_000012.12, from coordinate 75,482,715 downwards.
AACTCAATGGGTGGCTCTGAATGTGGCTATTGGGACTAATAATATGGATTCTGGGGGCAGAATACCCTCAGAATGGTTCATATAAGTTTACACGTTGGCCTCTCTGTTGGCCTGGGACTGACTTTTTCTCCCTCCTTGTGTAGCACCGTGCGTGGTGCCTAGTGCATGGCACACAGTAGGTTTTCAGTCGATGTTTGAGAGAATGAGAGGTTGTGGAAGCATCAGTTCTTATTGATGTTTCTGTCTGAGAGTCTTGTTTCTTCCAATTTTATAGTCCCAAAACAATTGGCTCAAATTTCATTTAAAACTCATGCTACAGCTGGAACCTGAAAATCCTTTCACTCATAAGGTTCTTTGATTTCTCACAAATGGAATAAAGTCCTATGGGAGAATAGCTGTTACAGGAATTGTTCAAAGCCTGTCCAAGTTGGTGGGCCTCACATATTACCTATTATGTGTTTAGTTCACACAACTAAACTTTTCAAGCATTATTTTCTGTTCTTGGAGGCTGTTCTATTTAACTCCCTTATATTTACAGGTATACTAGCATACTATACATTTTCTTAACTTCATAGTACAATTTTTCTCCTCATACTTGAAAAGACAGTTTCAAGATAATATAGGGCAGATCCTTACCTGAGTGTAGTGGCCACAGACTTTTTTGCATATCCGAGTCTTGAAGTCATAGTCCTGGATTTCGTCATACCAGTTTGTGATGGCGGAAGACACAGAAAAAATGGGCACAGACCCAGTCCAGATGTTCTCTCCCAGTGAAGTGAAGTTTGGGTGCAGCTTGTGGGGTGGCTTCAGCCGTGTATTATGTGAAAACTGGCAATTGCTGGCCCATGCTTTTGCAATTTGGGCTAGTGCTGGGTCCCAAGTCTGCAAAAATAAACATTAAACAATAGGGGGTTCATCTGAAATGTAACTGGGGTGAGTACAGTGGGAATTTGAATGGAAAACGAGGTGAGATAAGGAGAGAAGATACCACTGCATATGAGTCCTCTATAAATATGGTCTTCAAGCACTGAGTAGGGCTGGTAGGAAACGTGACAATTTAGTTTCATGGAATTTAGAATCTAAGTGAGGAAAACTGACATTTCACTGAAGGCTAATTGTGGGCAAAATAGTGTGTGCCGTGTTTCACAACATTATTCCATAACCACAACAGCCCATATCCTAAGAAGTTCAGAAAGGTTAAAAACCAGCTTAAAGCCACAGATCTGAAATTCAATCCCAAGCCTTACTGAATCAAAATCCCATCCTTTCCCCAGATGCCATTCTGCCTACCTGAGCAACTCAGTACTTTGTCAGCAGCAAAAAAAGTAAATTTAGAGACAAAAAAAAAAAAAAAAAAAGAAAACCAAATCACAAAAATTAACAGGGAGGAAGATAACAAAAAGAGAAGTAAAATCCACTGAAAACCAGAAAACAGGAAGTGTCCAAAGAGAAGTAAAATGTGCTGTGGCACTTGCTTATAACAACAGTTGGGTAGACAGAGCTAAACTGGATGTGTTTTGATCACAGACTGTGAATTTACTGCATACATTAATCACAATGAAAAAAAAATCATTCAGTATTACGAAGGTATTAACACCAAAGTCAATACACATTAGTTGTTTCTGACTGACTGACGCCACAATTAATGATATTTTCCTTACCATGTATAGCATATCACTGGCTGTTGGTTTCACCTCTGATCGGAACTTGTTATGGATTCGAACGCAGTCTTTGATGAAATCTTCATTTTCGATATCTGGCAAAATATTTGCTGTGTGTGAATAATTGGAGACAAAAGAAACCATCCAGGCTATTGTAGCAAGTGTGACACGCATGCTTTGTCTGGCATGGAGCCTTGGGAGGCTGCAGTCCAGAGCCGCCGCAGTTTCTGAGAGTGTGATTGCCTGAGTGCTCAGCCCACAGCTTTGCAAACCTAGCCGACTTCAGCTTTGAGAAAACAGAACAGAGCATGAGTTCATCACTAGTTTTAAGAAACGGGTTTCTCCATATATGGTGTGCAGCTCACTTTGTGTTCTTAACCCTGTCTTTTCAGTGGTTTTCAGTGACACAGCACCTATTACGACATAGATTTTTATGAGGCTGTGTCAGACTTCCTTTTGAATTGGGAGATATTTCCAAAGAAAATTCTGAAGTCTCCAGGAATAATAGTCTCCAATTTTTAATGGAGGTTGCGGTGATAAAATGAAAATATCTCTTACTTCTATAAATGCCTCGCAAAATGCTTTCAGAAATCTTTTTCTTTTTAGAGTCATATCAACACATAGTGGTTGGAATATCTGGTTAACATCATAAACTTGACCTAGAATTCATTCACGATGGTAGAAACATGTAAGCGTGTATGTGTGTGTGTGTGTGTGTGTGTGAGAGAGAGAGAGGGAGAGAAAGAGAGAGAGAGAGAAAGAGAGAGAGGGATTGAGAGGGAGAATAGTAGAAAGAATACAGGACTCAAGTTGAGAATTTAGTTTCTGTTTCTAACTAGCTGTAAGACCTTGGACAGGATACAAAACTCTCTAAACCTCAGCCACCTATTGAATGAGACTATGGGACCTTTTCTGCTTCCTTAATTACAGAGGTTTGGCAGGATCAAATGAACTAGCTAATATTAAATTCCTGCCTTGTATATTCACCTTAGTAATACAGAAATAAAAACACAGTCACTGGCCCCAAGGAGCTTACAGTGGTAAGAGCTGTGAGATGGTGATGACAAGGATGTTACAACAGGGGCTGTTGGAGATCTGGATATAGGAAAGCACAGGTAGATATGGACACACAAGAGAGCATACTTAACCCATTCTGGAAACGGCAGAGCCGGCCTACATACAGCAGGTGAGGTCTTTGCTGAGGCTAGAATCAGCTAGGTGTTGATCAAGTGAAAAAGCGCTGGAGAGGAGAAGGGAATTAGAGGGATAGGAACTATATATCTAGTTGTGAAATTGAAGACATGGTGTTATGGCAAGAATAGAGCAAGAACCTCTCCATATTGTCTCCCTCTGTAAATATGGTCTGTAAATAAGTAGTGATTCTGACTGGTAGAAAACTTGATACCTGGTGTCATGGAATTCAGAATCCAAATGATGCTTTCATGCCACTTGGGGGAGAGAAGTTAAGAGTCAGATCAGGAAGGATTTCTCAATTCTGCTAATGATTTTTTATTTTATCACCAAAGTCATGGGAAGTTATTGGAGGATTTTAGCTGTAGGTGGGGTTTAGACCTGGTTTTAGAAAACACGTGTATTTTAGAAAATTAAGAGAGATGGAAAATGGAATGAGGTGGGGAAATATTTCTAATGCAAACAAAAAGTAAAGAAACATTCCAGGCACACCTGTAGCCCCACCTACTCAGAAAGTTGAGGTGGGAGGATAGCTTGATCCCCACAATTTGAGGCTGTGAAGAGCTATAGTCAGGTCACTGCAATCCAGCCTGGGTGACAGAGCGAGGCCCCATCATTAAAAACAAACATACGGGCCAGGCGCGGTGGCTCACGCCTGTAATCCCAGCACTTTGGGAGGCTGAGGAGGGCGGATCATCTGAGGTCAGTTGTGCAAGGCCAGCCTGACCAACATGGTGAAACCCTGTCTCTACTAGAAATACCAAAATTAGCCTGGCATGGTGGCACATGCCTGTAATCCCAGCTACTTGCGAGGCTGAGGCAGGAGAATTGCTTGAACCTGGGAGGCGGAGTTGCAGTAAACTGAGATTGTCATTGCACTCTAGCCTAGGCAACAAGAGTGAAACTCCATCTCAAAAAAGCCCAACCAACCAACCAAACAAACAAAAACCATTACAGAACCATAAGGCAGAATTACTATTGCCACACACACACAAATAACCTTAAAAATACTCATACATAAATTCAAATTTTGTCCAGGCTGCCTAATTTCTACTAGCATGTCTTTACATTATAGGAATCTGAGATAAGCAGTGTCTTATCCAGGTCTCATAGGCAACTTTTTGATCAATGTAGTGACAATAAACAAAGAGACCTTTCTCCAGTTTGAAGTGGTAACCATGTCTAAGGCCTGCTTCTCATCTTCTTCTGGGTCTCTGTGAGCTAGACTGAGTTTTGAATACAACAACAAGAAAGAGGAAACCCCACGAGCAAGCAAAATCAGTGGTTTTTTTGGTTGCTTGCGTAATCCCTGTTATACACATACAACTCCCAAGAATGAGCAATGTTATCTTGGTCTTGAAATGATTTAATATTTTTTCTCTACTTTCCTGAAAATAATCAGCAAAAGGGAAAGTCTGCCGTCACAGAGATGATTTTTGTGTTATTGTGCAGACCAGGTTAGCTCCTTAGAGCTACAACTCTAAAACTTTTCAATTCACACTACACGTTTGCACCAAAAGTCCAGAGAAGTGGTTTGCCACAGAACAGGAACTTTTACTTGGAAGCAAATGTAAGCCTGCACTGCTTAGAAGGCTTTGAACTTTGCTATGACTTTTTCCACTTCTTAACCCAAGTCTTCACCATGATCTCTTTGATAATTATGCACGTGTGTTAAGACAGAGAGATTGGTTTTTAGTGCTCATCACTCATGGTAGCATTTTAAAAGATTTTTAACTTTCTTTTTAATTCTTCTCTGTATCGTTTAATTTTTTTACAGCAAGAACATGCTATCTTTCATAGTAATAAAATAAACTGCAATTATTTTGGAGAGTCATGGGATCTTTAAAATCATGCACAAATTCATACATATACATTGCCTGATAAACCCATGCATAGATAAAAGACTAAAGGAATATCCACAATTTCAGTATTGTGGGTAATACTGCATAATGGACTATGTCTCTCTATCCCCGCAAGCTTTACTCAAGTGTCTTATAAAAAGCAACAGTTTGTGTAGCTAGAGATAATCATTTATATTATGTGGAAAAATCTCAACCTTGCTATACTGTTCTAAATATATCAATTTATATATATGATGAGCTTTTTTATTTCTTGGGGAGAAATGATATAGAATTTTCTATAATCCCACACTTCCTGATTAGATTCCAAAAACATTTAGGCTCCAAAACCTCTAGCCACCTATTCTACTGGGGCTATGTGTTGGGTGTGGGGATAGACAAAGATAAAGGATTCAGAAAGAGGGAGGGGCTATATTTATTAAGCAAACATGTCACTGTTACATTGTTGTGTGATGATACTTTAATTTGGTATAAATTAGTTTTACGTATGTGACAATGTACAAGTTAACTGTAGTCCATATTCTAGAAGCAGTTAATTAGTGCTGAAGTACTCTAACCAAGAATCCACACTCCAAAGGTGATGGTTAACACTTCAGATATGGTTATGGAAATTGATACCTGAGAGTTTGTTAATTAGAACAGGGCATGTTAGAGAATCATTTTCACTGGCAAAATGAGTAATTTTCATGGTGAATGGCTTGTGGGGAGATTGAACACAGCCTCCTGCTATTGCATGAATGAAGTATAAAGAAGCAGACATCCTCAGATCTCTATTACTGCTGGTGTAGTGTTCAAGGGAATTGCCACCTCACAAGAGGTCCCCGTTTTCTGCCTTGACTTCAAGGCTGCTAGTCTTAACTTTAGAATGTCTGTTTAGTGAGCTTACCATTGGAGCGTCTAAGAGTAGAAAGCAGGAATGTTTCTGTAATTGTTTGCTAATGAATGTTAAGACATTTAGCAAAATTTGTCCAAGACTTACTTTCATAATAGCATACTATCAGGTACTGGGTTTGTAAGGGAGGGGAACATAGCCTTTGCATAACTCAGCTCTAACTGCAAGAGGCTTCAATATTTATCAAAGGAACCTGACATTTGAGGCCATGTTAGCTTAGGTCAGTTGGCAGCAGTGATGACAAGCACCAAACCTTTTCAAATTCATTATCTCACTATGCTCTCATAATAATCTTGTGACATATATATGTGTGTATATATATGTATGTGTATACACAAAATTATTCCTATTTACAGATGAAAATATTGGGACATAAAGAGGATAAATAACTGGACCAGGGGAATGACACTAGTAAGATGTTAACTTAAGGTCTCATTGCAAATCTTGTCTGTAGTTGTTAAGAGCACAAGTTCATTAGACTGTCTGGGTTCAAATCAAATACCCTGTACTAGGTGTATGAATGGGCATTTTGTCTTTCTGTCCTTTAGTTTCCTTATCTGTAAAATAGGAATGATAATATTACCTCCTTCATTGGATTGACAAACAAATTTAAATAAGAAGTTATTTCTAAAAACAGATTAGGTAGTGCCTGACACAGGGTAAGTACTATATATACCAGCTATTATTATTATTTCTTTTCCTTTATTACTCTAGGTATGCATAAGTGCATTCCATACTGATAGGGTTTGGCTGTGTCACCACACAAATCTCATCTTGAATTGTAGCTCCCATAATTTCCGCATGCTGTGGGAGGGACCCTGTGGGAGAGAATTGAATCATGGGGGGTGGTTTCCCCCATACTTTTGTCATGGTTGTGAATAAGTCTCATGAGATCTGATGGTTTTATAAGGGGTTTCCCTTTTTGCTTGGCTCTCATTCTCTTGCCTGCTGCTGTGTAAGACATGCCTTTTGCTTTCTGCCATGATTGTGAGGCCTCTCCAACCACATGGAACTGTGAGTCCATTAAACCTCCTTTTCTTTTCTTTTTTTTTTTTTTTTTTTTTTTTTTTTTGAGACAGAGTCTCCCTCTGTCACCAGGCTGGAGTGCAGTGGCGCGATCTCAGCTGGCTGCAACCTCCGTCTCCCGGGTTCAAGTGATTCTCCTGCCTCAGCCTCCCAAGTAGCTGGGACTACAGGCACATGCCACCACACCCAGCTAATTTTTTTGTATTTTTAGTGGAAATGGGGTTTCACCATGTTGGCCAGGATGGTCTCCATCTCTTGACTGCCTCCCAAAGTGCTGGGATTACAGGCGTGAGCCACTGCGCCTAGCCCTTTCCCTCATAAATTACCCAGTCCTGGGTATGTCTTTATCAGCAGGATGAAAATGGACTAGTACACATACATACAGTTGAGGCTACGTTTAACCTAGAACACTTTCATATTTATAGCATTACATTTTGACAAGAGAATAAAATCAAGTTAGGAAAAAATATACCTTGACACTGTAAGTATTATTGCTATAGATCAATAATGGATTTTTGATATAAACTACTCACAATGGTGTTACATTTGTTTCTTGACGGGTTCTTTACCTTGTGACTTTTTATACACTGCATTTGGTATTCATTTGAATAGTCTAAATAAATAACTTATTTTCCTATTAGAAATAGATGTATTTAATGACCCATAAATGATGTTTTATAATTAGTTTTTAAACAGTTTTAGATATTCAGATGAAAAATGTTGGGCAAATGCCACTTGATATTCAAGGTTAATTCTTATACAATGACACTGGAGCAGAGCAATGCTCCTACTAAATATACTCATTTCTTCTAAAATAATGTACAAAACAGTAATATTGGCTTTTTTAGTTATTAGACTGCAACAATTTTATGTTGTATGTTTGGACATTTTTAGCTTTATTATGTATTCCCTTTCTCTACCCAACAAAGGATCATTTTCAAAAATAATTGCCTTTTAAAAATATATAGCTTTGTAAAATTAATTTTTTACTTTAACATCTTTTGCCTAGCTTGGATGATTTTGGGTTATATGCAGTTCTCAGGACTAGGTTAATTATATTTGTATATTCAAGCATAACTATAGCTACATTGAATTCTTCTGGTTGCCAAGGATTCTGCTATGTGATATTTCCTTTCAATTTCTCAGATGTAAGAGCAGAAATAATCTATTCTTTTATACTCTTACTACTTTTCTTTTCTCAATCCCTTTCATTAGTGATAATATATACTACAACCAGATCTTTCTTCCCCAAATGGAGCCAACTGTGTCAGATTAGGATAGTAATACATACCTCACTGATTTTGCCTACAACTGCCTAACATAGGACCTCAACACCTTGTAAAATCACCCACAAAAGGTTGTCTGAGGGTTTCTTTTACATTAACTGGTGAAGAAGTCCATTTCCACCAAGAGCTTATGCTACTTTTCCAGACACTTATCTCTTGTGTGGCCACGGTTCCATGGGTTTCTATTAGGGGTGCCTCAAGAAGTCAGTCCATAGGGTCAGCCCCAAGGCAGTGCTACATGCTCAGACGCCCTTTAGTTTTTACTTACATCTTCCCTGATTGCCTATCTACAGAATTTGGGTTAGGAGATAAATTCGAGTGATGGTATCCATGCTGTTCAGAATCTTCCTTCTCTGTCAAGGGCTAAAGAATTTTCTATTGGGTCAATTTCAGCACAACTTTCTTCCTAGGAGGCTCCTTCATTTACATGAAAATAGGACTTTGATTAGGCAAGCCCAGATATGCCCAAAATTGTACCCAACAGGAAATCCCTGCCCACTATCCCACTAGTTGCCAGCTATTATGCAAGGCATTTTCCATATTTCTATTTCCAGCCTTGAGCTCACCTCATGCACTCAACTGCTACCTGTCACGTCTGCCCCAAGGTCTTCCTCATCTCAGTACATTGTCATCAAAATATCTTCCAAATTCTCAAGTCTAAATCTTGGGATTATTCCTGCATTTTCTTTCTCTCACTCCTCAAATGTAGGCAATTAGCAAATCCTATTATGTCTATCTTTGAAATGTATCCAGAATTCGACTATTTCTCATCGCTCCACCTTCTACCAACCTGGCTTTACTTCTTGCCTGGATTATTACAATAGCTTCTAAGTACTATCCTTGCTTCCTTCCTTGCCCTTTACATATATGCTCCTCTGGCAGTCAGAATTATCCTCTTACAATATAAGTCAGCTATGTCACTCCTCTGCTCGGAGCTCTCTAAGACTTTGATCTGGAGATGAGCAACATGAAGAAACAGCCTCTGCATGAAGCTTCTATTTTTGACAGATAGTTGACAACAGACATGTACAGCTTTTGGGGGTAGTAGTTTAAGAGGTGGTAGTTTTCTAGAAGAGCAGGTAGCCAGAAGTTTTAGAAAAGTTCTGTTGCTGACATTTATTACTCAATAGCAGCAACAGTGATGATTTTCTTTACAGCAGACTTGGTGGGCATTGCCCTAGGAAGCTTAGCCTAGAGACTGTTCTCAGCCGCCTTAATCATTCTGTCAGCTACCTAATTGCTTTTAATAAATATCATTTCCACTTTAGTGGCTTCTTTTCTTTGCAACTAAGAATCCTGACTTTTTGGGGATAAAGGAAACAAAAATTATCAATACATCTCAGAAGACTCCCTCTCAACATTTTCATGTGCCTCTATCAATCTTTTATACATATTCTCATATATATATTTGAAATATATAATACACACATAGAAATTTTGTTTGTTAATCGAGGGCATAATTTCATGCAATCCTGTATCTTGCTTTTTGTATTTATTATTTCATAAGCATGTTTTTGGTTATTATAATCTTTCATAAACATTTTAAGGACTATACAATGTTTTTGCAAATGAATGCATAATTTACATAACACATTATTGTTGAATATTCAGATCTGTTTCAATTATTCCTTATTTTAATAATGCTGTGGATATCTTTATATATTCTATATTTAGTAAGATTGATTCCTAGAATTAGAATAAGTGAATAGGATATGAGTGTTTTAAAGATTTCAAATGTAGAGTATCCAGTTACTCTCTTGGAACTTGTACTAATTTATACTTTCATCATCAGCATATGGGCACTGAGACCATATATTAAACATTGGAACTATATGTATACATGTATCTGGTTGTACATATTATTAAAGAGAACCAGAGCCAGACACTAAAGTGGTAAAGATATATTTTATTTTAAAAAATTGCAAAAAGGAAAAAAAGGCCTTAGTATAGAATTGGGCTCAATTCTGAGTACGATAAAGACACTTGGGGATTTATAGCCAAGGAGCAGAGTCTGGATGGAAAAATCACTAAGAAGAGACATCAAGGATGAGGGGATTCTTGTTAAACTCATCTAACAGGGTTCTTGCTGCGGTCAGGCCAGGATGATCAGAAAAGAATGGGAAATATTTCCTCTAAATTGACTTAACAGGATTCTTGCTAAAACCAGGCTATGCAGGTCTGGGAATGATGAGGGCCAAGATCAAGCCCCAGTTGAGAAGAGGGCTTAGAGGAGCCTGACTGAAGTCTGGTCAAAGAAGGCATGTTGTTAATTCATATATTTAAGTACTTATATTTTCTCTCCCTTTGCATGCTAGATTTTACTTTATCACTTCCTTACTTTAGCTGCCCTTGAGGCAGTTTCTTCAAAGAGGAAGCTGCTGTGGAACTTCTGCTTTTTTCTTTAACTGATGTGATATAAAAAGAGAGTGAGCCACCACACCTAATTTATAAGCACTGCTGGAATCTGTGCTGCTCATACTTAAACAGAGAAGTCACTTTTAAAAATATGGATTTAAAGATAATATTAAGATGAGAATTGAGTAACATGAACTTCTAAACTCTTAAACATTGTTATACTTGTCTTTAAATATTTTTTAAAACTTTCTTTAGCATAGATATATAGCAATGAGCCTTCATCTTCTGCCCTATAGCTTCGACCCTGCCCAAGATTGGGGAAGCCTAATAGTTACATACTAGACTATTCCACTTACAGAGAGTAGCTATCTTCTGCCAGTTCACTGTGTCCCGTGACCATCGGCCTGATACTTTTCATGGCACACTATAGTCTGGCATGTTCTCAGTTCAAGTTTACTTCGTTATGATCCTGAAATGTATGTATTATATAGCTACATGTTTGATGAGGAAGCTGAGAGTCAGAGTTAAGTAATTTGCTCAAGTTTACACTGTTAGTGAGTGAAAGAAGTGAATTAAACCCAGGAGATATACCTAATGTTAAATGACAAGTTAATGGGTGCAGCGCACCAACATGGCGCATGTATACATATGTAACTAACCTGCACGTTGTGCACATGTACCCTAAAACTTAAAGTATAATTGAAAAAAAAAGAAAGAAATTGCATACCCTAGCAAGAAAAAAAAAAAAACCCCAGGCGGTCTCTCTTCTTTATAACAATGGCTCTCTTGACATGCATTTGAATGTCCACACCATAACAACCAATCGGTGCTTTTAATCGGCTCTCCCCAGTGTTTTTGGGACACAGTCAAAGTTTGAGAACCACTATTTTGTGCCATGCTGCTTCTCTTTGCCCTTTTGACGTCCTATCCCTGGTAAAGCGCTTGGCTAAAGGCATTCATTCACTCTCATTCACTGTATCTTGGGATGTTGGGACCAAATAGCTCCCAGTTTTCCAATGCTGACATTGCTACACAGCATTCCCTCAGTAACATTTGAGATGTCTGACATTCATTTATACCAGTTCTACTCATACCATCTTCATCCTCAGACCTTCTTTATAACCCCTGAGGTCTTGAGCCTTGGCCTATAGTCTTTATCTGCATTTGAATATCTAACACTCTGCCCACAAACTTCTTTAAGCAATTCTATTCCAGCAATGTTAACAAATCTTCCAAACAGACATACCCTGGGTCTTACCAAGTAGAATTGCTCTATCCCCCAATTCCTGTCCTTTGGCCACAAGAGTCTCCCTTCTACTTCTTAAGCTCTTCACTGTCCCTGCTGCTAAATCTTTTCTCCATATGTATGGTGACTTTCAGGCTTCTCATTATCTTATACTGTCAGCCCAGCATCCCCAGTCCCAAGCTGTCTTTATATCTTTATCTAGCCTGGAAGCCAATAATCAAAAGTCGCAAGCATGTTCACACAAGAATCTTCAGTAATCTTAGGATCTTCCTATGAGCTAACTTAGCCAATCCTTGATTAAAAAAAATTTGTTTTAGTTTAAGTAAAACTACAGAAAATAGAAAAACTATGCTGTGGGCATCATCAGTTTGTTGTTGCTCAGCAACATTTTAAATCAGATCTTCTTATTTTGAGCAGTGGTTGATACAAACACTTTGCAATCCTCAGGCCACCTACCCACCCTGGAGACCCTGTCTCTTGTAGTTCAGGTTTTTTAAACTTCTTAGCAGACACAAAATACAGGTTCTTCAGTTACTCAGTGTTTCTGTTCCTTTTGACTGGAATGCCATTTGCTTACTTATTTCTCTATCAAACTCCTGCTTATCCTTCAAGGCCCAACTCAAATGTTACCTTTTCTATGTTGTATTTTCTGACTCCCGTAAGAATCGCCTTTCTTCTTTGTTCCCTTATTTCGTTTTCATACGTCTTTCTTTTCCACCAAATTGTGAGGCAGTGGTTGTTGTCATTGTATTACATTTCGGTCTTTCCCTCTGTCTTAGTAGACTGGGTGGTTTAAACAACAGAATTTATTTCTGACTATTTTGGAGGCTGGGAAGTCCCATACAACCATCTGGGTGATGGCTAATTCAGTTCCAAATGGGGGCCATCTTCCTGGCTTGTAGATGGTCAACTTCTCGCTGTGTACTCACATGGCAGAGCAACTGAGCTCTAGTCTCTTCCTCTTCTTATAAGGACACTAATGCCGTATAGGGGCTCCACCCTCATGACCTCATCTGAACCTAATAACCTCTCAAAGGCCCAACCTTAGGGATTAAGGTTTCAACGTAGGAATTTTTAGAAAGACACAAACATTGAGTTCATAACACCCTCTAATACAGAATCCCTACCTCAAATCATATTAAGAAAAGTACTTGAATATTGAATAAGACGTGCTCTAGAGATGAGCCACTTGTAAGAGCTCAATCCTTAAATCTGTGCTATCAGGGCTGGGCACAGTGGCTCATTCCTGTAATCCCAGCACTTTGGGAGGCCAAGGTGAGAGAATCTCTTGAGCCCAGGAGTTCGAGACCAGCCTAGGCAATATAGTGAGAACCCATCTCTACAAAAAAAAAAAAAAAAAAAAAAAAATGTTTTTTAATTAGCTGGGTGTGGTGGCAGGTGCCTGTAGTCCCAGCGACTTGGAAGGCTGAGGCGGGAGGATCACTTGAGCCTCAGAGGCAGAAGTTGCAGTGAGCTGAGATCACACCACTGCACTCCAGCCTGGGTGACACAGCAAGACCTTGTCCCTAAATAATTAAATAAATACATCTGTGCTATCTCATACTAGAGCTACTAGTCACATGGGGTTACTGAGCAGTTGAAATGTGGCTAGTCTAAATTGAGATGTGCTCTACATGCATAATATACTTCAGATTTTAAAGACTTGGTATGAAACAAAGAATGTAAAATATCTCCTTAATAGTTTTTATATTGATTATAAGTTGAAATATTTTGGATACATTAGATTAAATAATAAAATGAGAATTAACTTTACTTGCTTTTTACCTTTTTAATGTAGCTAAAAGAAAATGTGAAATAAAATGTGTGGCTTATGTTTCTATTAAACCATGCTGTTTTAAATAAAAAATCCATAATGCTCAGTATAGATACAGTGATTAACACAAAAGTATAGGCTGAAAGAGCTTAGGAATATTTCTCACTGGGAACGTGGTGTATAAATTTATATTAAGAATATTCTGTTTTTATACTTCTCCAAACTATCTGGTAAATTCAAGTTTCTTGTCAATATGAGATTATAATTAAAAAGTAGGTGATACAGGAACAGAAAACCAAATACCGCATGTTCTTACTCATAAATGGGAGTTGAACAATGAGAATACGTGGACACAGGGAGGGGAACATCACACATCGGGGCCTGTCAGAGGGTGGGAGGCAAGGGGAGGGAGAGCATTAGGACAAATACCTAATGTATGCGGGGCTTAAAACATAGAATTTGATGGGTTGATAGGTGCAGCAAACCACCATGGCACATGTATACCTATGTAACAAACCTGCACATTCTGCACATGTATCCCACAACTTAAATAAAAAGAAAAAAAGGTGATAATGCCACCATGCCCCGTTATCAGGAGACTCTATAAAATTCTGTACTAACATATACATTTATAACAATTAAAATATGGCATCCTCATTTTCCAAGTATTCACATTCAAGTCACCACCTGTACAAGGTGGCATAGGGCAACGAAAGTAGTCATAACACACTCACAAATTTACTAACAAACTTATACAATTACTTTCTATATAATTACAATTAATTCTAGTGGGAAGAGTCAACATCTTTGTAGGTTTCTTATTAATTGTACAGTGCTGTTAATGTCCAACAATACAAGGCAAATGTGATATAATAAATAACTTGCAAAAAGACATCACAATTCTCACAAGAGATTCAGGATTTTAGAAATTCGAAACCTGTTGACAAACAGCTAACTAGAATTAAACCAATTAACATTTGAAGGAGAGCAAACAAAATAGTAACTCCATTAGTCCTTGAAAAGAGAATAATTTAGGCCAGGTGCGGTGGCTCATGCCTGTAATCCCAGCACTTTGGGAGGCCGAGGCAGGCGGATCATGAGGTCAGGAGATCAAGACCATCCTGGCTAACATGGTCAAACCCTGTCTCTACTAAAAATACAAAAAATTAGGCAGGTATGGTGGTGCGCACCTATAGTCCCAGCTACTAGGGAGGCTGAGGCAGGAGAATCACTTGAACCCAGGAGGTGGAGGTCGCAGTGAGCCGAGATAGCGCCATTGCACTCCAGCCTGGCAACAGAGCAAGACTCCATCTCAAAAAAAAAAAAAAAGAATAATTTAAATGTCAAATGATGGTAAGAGTTCTTTGGAAAATTGATGAAGATCTCTGATACATACTTTTTAATGACTCTCTTTACTTTGAAAATCAACTGTGAAGTGAAAAACGCTGTTCTGTGTTACCACATAATTTTGCTGATATAAAAATAACCCCTCCTCTGTTTTGTTTTCTGTTTGCATAATAAATCTTTCTCTATCCCTTTACTTTGAGCCTGTGAGTGCTGTTACATGTGAGACGGATCTCTTGAAGACACCAGTCGGATGGGTGGATGAGTCTTGTTTTTTTCATCCAACTTGCCACTCTTTGCCCTTTAAGTGGAGCATTTAGAAGGTTTACATTCAAAGTTAATATTGATATGTAAGGCTTTGAAACTATTGTGAAGTTGTCAGCTGATTGCTTTGTGGTCTCTTGTGTAGTTGCTTTATAGGGTCTGAGGGCTATGTACTTAAGTGTGTTTTTGTGGTAGCAGATATTCTTTTGTTTTCATGTTTAGAACTCCCATAAGGATCCCTTGTTGGGGAGGGACCAAGATGGCTAAATAGAAACAGCTCCAGTCTGCAGCTCCCAGCTAGACCAGTGCAGAAGGCAGGTGGATTTCTGTATTTCCAACTGAGGTAACCAGTTTATCTCATTGGGACTAGTTAGGCAGTGGGTGCAACCCACGTAGAGCAAGCAGAAGCAGGGTGGGGCATTGCTTCACCTGGGAAGTGCAAGGAGCCAGGGCCCTCCCTGCCCTAGCCAAGGGAAGCCATGAGGGACTGTGCTACCCAGCCTGGTACTACGTTTTTCCCACGTTTTTTGAAATCTACAGATCAGGCGATTCCCTCATGTGCCTACGCCACCAGGGCCCTGGGTTTCAAGCACAAAACTGGGCAGCTGTTTGGGCAGGCATCGAGCTAGCTGCGGAAGTTATTTTTGTACCCTAGTGGTGCCTGGGAACCCCAGCGAGACGAACCATATGCTCCCTTGGAAATGGGGCTGAAGCCAGGAAGCCAAGTGGTCTCACTCAGCGGGTCCCACTCCCACAGAGCCCAGCAAGCTAAGAACCACTGGCTTGAAATTCTCACTGCCAGCACAGCAGTATGGAGTAGACCTGGGAGGATCGAGCTTGGTGGGGGGAGGGGCATCTACCATTACCAAAGCTTTAGTAGGCAGTTTTCCCCTGACAGTGCTAAGGAGACTGGGAGGTGTGGACTGGGTGGAATTCACCACAGCGCAGTAAAGTGGCTGTGGCCAGACTGCTTCTCTAGATTATTCCTCACTGGGCAGGGCATCTCTGAAGGAAAGGCAGCAGTCCCAGTCACAGGCTTACTGATGAAACTCTCATCTCCCTGGGACAGAGCACCAGTGCAGAGGGGTGGCTGTGGGCACAGCTTCAGTGGACTCAATCTTTCCTGCCTGCTGGCTCTGAAGACAGCAGCTGATTCTGACAAAGGGGATTCTCCCAGCACAGTGCGCCAGCTCTAAGGAACAGACTGCCCCTTCAAGTGGGTCCCTGACCCCCGTGCCTCCTGACTGGGAGACACCTCCCAACAGGGGTTGACAGACATTTCATACAGGAGAGCTCTGGCTGGCATCAGGCTGGTACCCCACTGGGACAAAGCTTCCAGGTGAAAGAGCAGGCAGCAATCTTTGCTGTTCTGCAGCCTCCACTGGTGATACCCACACGGATAGGGTCTGGAGTGGACCTCCAGCAAAGTGCAGCAGACATGAAGAAGAGGGGCCTGACTGTTAGAAGAAAAGCTAACAAACAGAAAGCAATAACATCAATATCAATAAAAAAGACCCCCACACAGAAACCCCAACCAAAGATCATCATCCTCAAAGATCAAAGGTAGATAAATCCACGAAGATGAGGAAAAACCAGTGAAAAATGCTGAAAATTCCAAAAATCAGAATGCCTCTTCTCATCCAAATGATCGCAACTCCTCTCCAGCAAGGGCACAAAACTGGATGGAGAATGAGATTGATGAATTGAAAGAAGTAGGCTTCAGAAGGTGGGTAATAACAAACTCCTCTGAGCTAAAGAAGCATGTTCTAACCCAATGCAAGGAAGCTAAGAACCTTGATAAAAAGTTACAGGAACTGCTAACTAGAATAACCAGTTTAGAGAGGAACATAAATGACCTGATGGAGCTGAAAAACACAGCATGAGAACTTCATGAAGCATACACAAGTATCAATAGTTGAATTGATCAAGCGGAAGAAAGGCTATTAGAGATTGAAGATCACCTTACTGAAATAAGGCATGAAGACAAGATTAGACAAAAAAGAATGAAAAGAAATGAACAAAGCCGCCAAGAAATATGGGACTACGTGAAAAGACCAAACCTACAATTGACTGGTGTACTGGAAAGTGACGGGGAGCATGGAAGCAAGTTGGAAAACACACTTCAGGATATTATCCAGGAGAACGTCCCCAGCCTAGCAAGACAGACCAACACTCAAATTCAGGAAATACAGAACACACGACTAAGATACTCTTCGAGAAGAGCAACCCCAACACACATAATCATCAGATTCTCCAAGTTTGAAATGAAGAGAAAAATGTTAAGGGCAGCCAGAGAGAAAGGTCAGGTCACCTACAAAGGGAAGCCCATCAGACTAACAGTGGATTTCTCTGCAGAAGCCCTACAAGCCAGAAAAGAGTGGGGCCAATATTCAACATTCTTAAAGAAAAGAATTTTCAACCCAGAATTTCATATCCAGCCAAACTAAGCTTTATAAATGAAGGAGAAATAAAATCCTTTCCAGACAGGCAAATGCTATGGGATTTTGTCACCACCAGGCCTGCCATACAAGAGCTCCTGAAGGAAGCACTAAATATGGAAAGAAAAAACCAGTACCACCCACTGCAAAAACATACCAAAATATAAAGGATCAATGACACTGTGAAGAAACTGCATCAACTAATGAGCAAAATAATCAGCTAGCATCATAATGACAGGATCAAATTCACACATAATATTAACCTTAAATGTAAATGGGCTAAATGCCTCAACTAAAAGACAAAGACTGAGAAATTGGATAACGAGTCAAGACCCATCAGTGTGCTGTATTCAGGAGACACATCTCACATGCAAAGACACACACAGGCCCAAAATAAAGGGATGGAGGAATATTTACCAAGCAAATGGAAAACAGAACAAAGCAGGGTTGCAATCCTAGTCTCTGATAATACAGACTTTAAACCAAGAAAGATAAAAAAAAGACAAGGGATTACATAATGGAAAAGGGATCAATGCAACAAGAAGAGCTAACTATGCTAAATGTATATGCACCCAACAAGGAGCACCCAGATTCATAAAACAAGTTCTTAGAGACCTACAAAAAGATAGACTCCCACAAAATAATAGTGGGAGACTTTAACACCCCGCTGTCAATATTACACAGATCAACGAGACAGAAAATTAACAAAGATACCCAGAAGGTGAACTCAGCTCTGGATCAAGTGGACCTGATAGATATCTGCAGGACTCTCCACCCCAAAACAACAGAATATACATTCTTCTCAGTGCCACATGGCACCTACTCTGAAATTGACCACATAACTGGAAGTAAAACACCCCTCAGCAAACACAAAAGAACGGAAATCATAACAGTCTCTCAGACCACAGTGCAATCAAATTAGAACTCAGAATTAATAAACTCACTAAAAACTACACAACTACATGGAAATTGAACAACCTGCTCCTGAATGATAACTTGGTAAATAATGAAATTAAGGCAGAAATAATGAAGTTATTTGAAACCAATGAATACAAAGAGACAACATACCAGAATCTATGGGACACAGCTAAAGCAGTGTTAAGAGGGAAATTCATAGCACTAAATGTCCACATCAGAAAGCTGAAAAGATCTGAAATCAACACCCTCACATCACAATCAAAAGAACTAAAGAAGCAAGAGCAAACAAATTCAAAAGCTAGCAGAAGACAAGAAATAACTAAGATCAGAGCAGAACTGAAGGAGATAGAGACACGAAAACCCATCAAAAAGCAGTAAATCCAGGAGCTGTTTTTATGCAAATATTAACAAAATAGATAGACTGCTAGCTAGACTAATGAAGGTAAGAGAGAAGAATCAAATAGACACAATAAAAAATGACAAAGGGAATATCACCACTGATCCTACAGAAATACAAACTACCATTGGAGTGTACTATAAAGACCTCTACACAAATAAACTAGAAAATCTAGAAGAAACTGATAAATTCCTGGACACATACACCCTCCCAAGACGAAACCAGGAAGAAGTCGAATCCCTGAATAGACTAATAATAAGTTCTCAAATTGAGGCAGTAATTAATAGCCTACCAACCAAAAAAAAAAAAAAAAGCCCAGGACCAGACAGATTCACAGCTGAATTCTATGACAGGTACAAAGAGTAGCTGGTACCATTGCTTCTGAAACTATTCCAAATAGAAAAAGAGGGAATCCTCCCTAATTCCTTTTATAAGGCCAGCATCATCCTGATTCCAAAACCTGGCAGGGACACAACAAAAAAAGAAACTTTCACACAAATATCCTTGATGAACATTGATGTGAAAATCCTCAATAAAATACTGGAAAATTGAACCCAGCAGCACATCAGTAAGCTTATCCACCATGATCAAGTTGACTTCATCCCTGGGATGCAAGGCTAGTTTAACATATGCAAATCAATAAATGTAGGCCATCACATAAACAGAACCAATGACAAAAACCACATGATTATCTCAATAGATGCAGAAAAGGCCTTTGATAAAATTCAACACCCCTTCATGCTAAAAACTCTCAACAAACTAGGTATTGATGGAACATATCTCAAAATAATAAGAGCTATTTATGACAAACCCAAAGCCAATATCATACTGAATGGGCAAAAACTGGAAGCATTCCCTTTGAAAACTGGCACAAGGCAAGGATGCCCTCTCTCACCACTCCTATTCAACATAGTATTGGAAGTTCTGGCCAGGGCAGTCAGGCAAGAGAAAGAAATAAAGCATATTCAAATAGGAAGAGAGGAAGTCAAATTGTCTCCGTTTGCAGATGATATGATTGTATATTAAGAAAACCCCATTGTCTCAGCCCCAAAACTCCTTAAGCTTATAAGCAACTTCAGCAAAGTCTCAGGATACAAAATCAATGTGCAAAAATCACAAGCATTCCTATACATCAATAATAGACAAGCAGAGAGACAAATCATGAGTGATCTCCCATTCACAATTGCTACAAAGAGAATAAAACACCTAGGAATACAACTTACAAGGGATGAGAAGGACCTCTTCAAGGAGAACCACAAACAGCTGCTCAAGGAAATAAGAGAAGACACAAACAAATGGTAAACAATTCCATGCTGACAGATAGGAAGAATCAATATCATGAAAATGGCCATATTGCCCAGAGTAATTTGTAGATTCAATGCTATTCTCATCAAGCTACAATTGACTTTCTTCACAGAATTAGAAAAACACTACTTTAAACTTCATATGGAACCAAAAAAGTGCGCATATAGCCAAGGCAATCCTAAGCAAAAAGAACAAAGCTGGAGGCATCATTCTATCTGACTTCAAACTATACTGCAGGGCTACAGTAACCAAAACAGCATAGTACTGGTACCAAAACAGATATATAGACCAATGGAACAGAAAAGAAATCTCAGAAATAACACCACACATCTACAAGCATCTAATCTTCAACAAACCTGACAGAAACAAGCAATGGGGAAAGGATGCCCTATTTAATAAATGGTGCTGGGAAAACTGGCTATCCATATGGAGAAAACAGAAGCTGGACCCCTTCCTTACACTTTATACAAAAATTAACCCAATATGGATTAAAAACTTAAATGTAAAACCTAAAACCACAAAAACCCTAGAAAAAAAATCTAGGCAATACCATTCAGGATATAGGCATGGGCAAAGACTTCATGACTAAAACACCAAAAGCCATGGCAACAAAAGCCAAAACTGACAAATGGGATCTAATTACATTTAAGAGCTTCTGCACAGCAAAATAAACTATCAGAGTGAACAGGCAACCTACAGAATGGGAGAAAATGTTTGCAATCTATCCATCTGACAAAGGTCTAACAAGGAACTTAAACAAATTTACAAGAAAAAAGCAACCCCATCAAAAAGTGTGCAAAGGATATTAACAGACACTTCTCAAAAGAAGATATTTATATGGCAAACAAACATATGGAAAAAAAGCTCATCATCACTGGTCATTAGAGAACTGCAAATCAAAACCACAATGAGATACCGTCTCATGCCAGTTAGAATGGAGATCATTAAAAAGTCAGGAAACAATAGATGCTGGAGAGGGTGTGGAGAAACAAACACTTTTACACTATTGGTGGGAGTGTAAATTAGTTCAACCATTGTGGAAGACAGTGCGGTATTCCTCAAGGATCTAGAACCAGAAATACCATTTAACCCAGCAATCTCATTACTGGGTATATACCCAAAGGATTATAAATAATTCTGCTATAAAGACACATGCACACATACGTTTATTGCAGCACTATTTACAATAGCAAAGAATTGGAACCAACCCAAATGCCCATCAATGATAGACTGGATAAAGAAAATGTGGCACATATATACCAGGAATACCATGCAGCCATAAAAAAGAATGAGTTCACTTCCTTTTCAGGTACATGGATGAAGCTGGAAGCCATCTTCCTCAGCAAACTAACACAGGAACAGAAAACCAAACACCGCATGCTCTCACTCATAAGTGGGAGTTGAACAATGAGAACACATGGACACAGGGAGGGGAACACCACACACTGGGGCCTGTCCTGGGGTCAGGGGAAGGGGAGGGAGAGCATTAGGACAAATATCTAATGCATGCGGGGCTTAAAACCTAGATGATAGGTTGATAGGTACAGCAAACGACTATGTCACATGTATTGCTATGTAACAAAGCTGCATGTTCTACACATGTATCCCAGAACTTAAAGTAAAAAAAAATAAAACGATCTCTTGTGAGGTTGGTTTAGTAATAAATTCCCTTTGTGGTTGTTTGTTCAGAAAAGACTTCATTTCTCCTTTATGTATGAAGCTTAGTTTGGTGGGATATGAAATTCTTGATTGGAATTTCTTTTAAGAATGCTGAAAATAGGCTCCCAGATCTCTTCTGGTTTGTAAGTCTGAGAAGTATGTTAGCTTGATGGGGTTTGCTTTGTAAATAATCTGACCTTTTCCTCTAGCTGCCTTTGAGATTTTTTTATTCAATATTGACGTTGGACAATATGGTGACATATGCCTTGGTGATGTTCATTTTGTATAGTATCTCACAGGTGTTCTCTGGATTTCTTGTATCTGGATGTCTGCCTCTCTAGCGAGATTAAGAAAGTTTTGTTGAATTATTCTCTCAGACATGTTTTCCAGTTTGTTTACCTTTTCTCCTTTCTCAGGAATGCTAATAAGTCATAGGTTTGGCAGCTTTACATAATCCCATATTTCTTGAAGACTTTGTTCATTTTTAAAAATTCTTTTTTCTTTATTTCTGTCTGACTAGATTAGTTTGAAAGACTGGTCTTCAAACTCTAAGATTCTTTCATCTGCTTGGTCTAGTCTATTGATAAAGCCTTTCATTTTACTTTGAAATTCCTTAAGTTAGTTTTTCAATTCTGGAAGCTCTGATTGATTTCTGTATAAAGATGCTTATCTCTTCCTTCATTTCCTGGAATGCTTTCAAAGCTCCTCTGTGGTGATTTTTAACCTTGCCTTGAATCTTGCTGAACTTCCTTGCAATCTATGCTTTGAATTATTTATCTGTAATGTCTGAGTTTCCATTTTAATTAGAGACCACTGCAGAAGAGCTAGTGTGATGCTTTGGTGGTATCACTCCATTCAGATTTTTCTTGATGCCAGAATTCTTGCACTGGGTCCTTCACATCTGAAGATGTTGGCACTTCTAATTTTCATAATTCTTTTCATGTGGGTAGGATTTATTTTTGTTACTTTCCCTATAATTTTTTTCCATTTTCCTTCCCCTCACCCTTGGGGGTGTGACTGTAGAGAATGTTGAATAGGGTGTTTTGGCTTTGCTTCTACAGCTCTATGCACTTTTGTCAGCGGGTTTTATATTAGGCTTTGTGGTTTAAGATTCAAGCCAGTAGATAGCATTTATGGGTAAGAGCTGGCTGCAGCCAATGTAGGTGGGTATATACATGATCATTGTTTACCGGGAGAAACTCTTTGTTGCCTTAGGCAATAGGCTGATCGGCAGAGTGTACAGTGGTCTGAGCTCCCTGCTTAGTGTCTGGAAGTGGGGAAAGATGGGTGGTGCCAGAATGGGAAGGCCTGCCTACAGATTCCCCAATGGCAGGCACAAGAACCAGTGCTGAGGGAGAATCCAGGGAGCAGCCCCCAAGCACTTAGAGGTATCTCTAGGCTTGGAGCTGGGAAACCTCCTTGGCCCCAAGTTCTGTGTACCGAGAGGGGGTTGCAGCCTAAACTTCTAATCTAGGAGAGTGGGTGCTCCAGAGGCCTGGAGATATGCTTGGATGTGGTGTGTAGAGGTCCCCACTGCACCACAACCTCTTCACAGGAAGAACCGGGTGGCTTACCAGTCAGAATGGCTATTATTAAAAAGTGAAAAACAACAGATGCTAGTGAGGCTGTGGAGAAAAGGGAACACTTAATACATTGTTCAGCCACTGTGGAAAGCAGTTCGGTGATTTCTCAAAGACCTTAGAACTATAATTTCACCCAGCAATCCCATTACTGGATATATATCCAAAGGAAAATAAATCATTCTGCAAGAAAAGATACATGCACTAGTAAGTTAATCACAGCACTGTTCACAATAGCAGAAACATAGAATCAACCTGGGTGCCCATCAATGGTAGATTGGGTAAAGAAAATATAGTATGTATACATCACAGAATACTATGCAGCTATAAAAAAGAATGAAATCACATCCTTCAAAGCAACATGGATGCAGCTGGAAGCTATTATCCTAAGTGAATTAACATAGGAACAGAAAACCAAATACCACATGTTCTCACCTGTAAGTGGGAGCTAAGCATTCGGTACACATGGATATAAAGACGGGAACAATAGACACTGGGGAATACTAGAGTGGGGGAGAAAGAGAGAAGGGGGATGATTGAAAAACTACCTATTGAGTGCTATTCTCACTACTTGGATGACAGGATCATTCATACCCTAAATCTCAGCATCATACAATACACTCATGAAACAAACCTGCACATATACCCCTTGAATCTAAAAGTTGAAGTTATTTTTAAAAAGTATATTTGCTTTAAACAATCCTCTTCTGATACCAATTATCCTAAGATAATTATGATGGCTAAATTTTTAAAATTATTATAAATTCCAATAGGATATTCTTTCTTGTTGTGGGAAGTCAGGGAACCCAAATGGAGGGACCAGCTGAAGCCACGGCAGAATAACATAAATTGTGAAGATTTCATGGACATTTGTTAGTTCCCCAAATTAATACTTTTATAATTTCCTACATCTGTCTTTACTGCAATCTCTGGACATAAATTGTGAAGATTTCATGGACATTTATCACTTCCCCAATCAATACTCTTATAATTTCCTATGCCTGTCTTTAATCTCTTAATCCCATCATCTTTGTAAGCTGAAGATGTATGTCACCTCAGGACCCTGTGATGATTGTGTTATCTGCACAAATTGAAAAGCATGTGTGTTTGAACAATATGAAATCTGGGCACCTTGAAAAGAACAGGATAACAGTGATTTTCAGGGAACAAGGGAGATAACCATAAAGTCTGACTGCCTGCAGGCCAGGCAGAACAGAGTCATATTTCTCTTCTTCCAGAAAGTGAATAGGAGAAATATCGCTGAATTCTTTTCTCAGCAAGGAATAACCCTGGGAAAACGAATGCATTCCCAGGGAGAGGTCTCTAAAATGGCCGCTCTGGGAGTGTCTGTCTTATACAGTTGTAGATAAAGGATGAAATACACCCTGGTCTCCTGCAGCGCCCCCAGGCTTGTTAGGATTGGGAAATTCCAGCCTGGCGAAATTCTAGTCAGACCGGTTGTCTGCTCTGGGACCCTGTTTCCTGTTAAGATGTTTATCAATGACAATGTGTGCCCAGCGGGACATGGACCTTCATCAGTAATTCCAGTTTCACCCTGGCCTTGTGATCTCGCTCTGCCTCTCTGCCCTTGTGATACTTTATTGCCTTTGAAGCCTGTGATCTCTGTGACCCACTCCCTATTCATACGCCACTCCCCTTTTGAAATCCATAATAAAAACTTGCTGGTTTTGCAGGTCAGGGGCATCACAGAACCTTCCGACATGTGATGTCACCCCCGGAGACCCACCTGTAAAATTTCTTTCTTTTGTAGTCTCTTTATTTCTCAGACCAGCTGACACTTAGGGAAAATAGAAAAGAACCTACCTTGAAATATTGGGGGCTGGTTCCCATGATAATTTCTAAATAAACATGCAGAAATAAATAAAATTAATAGGTAATGCTGGTATGTATAAGTACTTACATGATTTTGAATAGCACTGCTAGATTTAGTCATTCATGAGTTAAACTTGTTAGGCATCTAAATTTGTCAGGCATCTGAGTGTTTATATTACAGGGGGGAAATACATGATGTAAATAGTCAAAGAGATAATGTAGGCCATATAGTGCGATAACATTGTATTAATGTTTATATTATTCAGCTAAACATTTTTAGCTTAATTTCACACTTCTGAGAAACATTATTTTGAAGTTGCTCAACTCAAAGGAAATGGTGGTTTCAACAGCAGTTTTGCTGTTTCCTTTGAACATTTTGATTGCCAATTTTTTTCTCCTGTTTTCTTTTTGCAGTTTCTTTGCTAAAATAGCTTTTAAAAAATGTCCTGTCATCAGTGGCTCCAATGACAGCTTTTTTTACATACTGAGAAAATTATTCAATTTTTAAAATTATACATACATACATTCAAATAAAAATAAATTGTAAGAAAATAATGTTTTAAAAAGTGTAATGTATTACCATTGCTATGAGTAAAATACCGTTGTTTATCTCTGACCTAGAGGTCTTGTATTTTCTTTCCTTGAAAGCGTTACTAACTTGTTAGCTTGCAATTAGGATAAAATCTTAGATCCTTTACAATTCTTAACATGAGGCTATCAGAATTGTTCTTTATTGTCATGTTTGTTTTCAAAATTCATTCAAGAATTTGTCCATTTCATCTAAATTGTTGAATTTATTAACAAAGTTATTCACCTTCTTATTCTTTAAATTTCTCTTGCACTTCTAGTGGTGTCCCTTGTTTTATTCCTGATATTAGTAATTTTTGTTTTTTTCTGTTTTTCTCTTGATCACTCTTACTAGGTGTTACTACTTTTATTAACCCAATGTAGGTAGACTCAGACAGGATTCCTTGGCACTGCCAGTTGCAAGGAGACTTAAAAATTTAGGTAAAAGTCAATGCTAGGAAAGCTGAACCAGAGAGAAAGAAAGGATTAAGAAACATTCAGCCAGATCAGAAACCAAACATGAAATTTACCAACAGGTAGTGTCTGAGGTCATTTGAGATCTAAAATTAAAGTCAGCAAAGACAAAGTCAAACACAATCACACATGGGAAAAAGTAAGTTGCTACTGATAGTCCTTTTTGTGAGGAAAACATCTGTCACTGATGAAATCATAATTTACAACTTCATTAATAGGTGTGGAGATGTTAGTCATACTTTGATTTAAAACAAAACAAAAAAAGAAAAATAGGACTAAAATATATACTACTTATTATATTAAAAAGATGTTATCTGCTTCTGTTGCACTTCTAAGATACGCCAATATTTAATCGTTTATAAACGTGATTCACTTTCAAAAGCTTGCATAAGCAGTAGGATTTTTGTTTCTTTCCCTATAATTTTGTTTCCCTTTTCCTCTCCCTCACCCTAGGGGGTGTGACTGTAGAGAATGGTGGATAGGGTGTTTTGGCTTTGCTTCTACAGCTTTATGCACTTTTGTCAGCAGGTTTTATATTAGGCTTTGTGGTTTAAGCTACTATCCAGTAAGAGCTGGCTGCAGCCAATGTAGCTGGGTATATACATGATCATTGTTTACCGGGAGAAACTCTTTGTTGCCTCAGGCAATAGGCTGATCGGCAGAGTGCACAGTGGTCTGAGCTCCCTGCTTAGTGTCTGGAAGTGGGGAAAGATGGGCGGGGCCAGAATGGGAAGGCCTGCCTTCAGCTTCCCCACTATCAGGCACAAGAACCAGTGCGAAAAGAAACAAGCTGTTTCGAGTTCCACTGTTTTGAGGTTGTTTTCCAAGGGAGAAACCAAACATGAGAGAACATAGATTAGTTGCACAAAAACTCATTTACAATAACTTAATTGCTATAGAGTATAACGTCTCTAAAATAAAAAGAAGTCCAAATGGGGACAGGAGCAACCCAGGGAGGGCTCAATATCAATGTAATGTCAACAGTATTTCAAGCTTTTTCTATACTCCTGCTTCATCATCCTCAGCCTCAGGCCATTCCACTCATACTTTTTATCTTGTAGTCACAAGATAGCTGTTCTGCCTATGGCTTCACCTCTACACAGTAAGCATGAAGAAGATAGAGGGAAGGGCTGGTGCCTATATCAGAGTGGTGATACAATGGAGATAGCTACTTTCTGCTTTGTGTGCGAGGCAAAAAAAATTAAGTTACTTTAAGGGAAGTTATTCAGAGAGATATCAGCATCCCGCCCAAGGCACCTATTATAGATTGAGTTGTATCCTTCCAAAAGATATGTTGAGGTCCTAACTCCTTGTACTTCAGAATGATATTTGTAAATAGGGTCCTTGCACGTGTAATCAAGTTAAGATGAGGTCATTAAGATGGACCTAAATCCAATATGACTAGTGTCCTTATAAGAGGAATACGGACACAGAGGAAAAAATGCCATGTGAAGACACAGAAACACACAGAAGGAAGACAATCATGAGAAGACAGAGGCAGAGATTGGAGTTATGCTGTCACAAACCAAGTAATTCCTGGGGCTAAAGAAGCTGGAAGAGTCAAGAAAGTATCTTCTCTTAGTGGCTTGGGAGGGAGCATGGTCCAGTCAACACCTTGATTTCAGACTTCTAGCCTCCAGAAGTGAGGGAGAATAAATTTCTGATGTTAGCCACCCAGTTTGTAACCCTAGGAAACTAATACAGCATCTAATCCAGATTTTGCTGGTAATTCCTGAGTACCTTAACTTGAGAGGACAGCAATATAATGGAATCTGCTTAGAGAAAGATTTTCTTTGGGATCATCTTGGGAGGGTAACAAAATAAGCATTACTATACCTCTGTAAAGGAATCACAGTAGAAATTGTGAATCCAGGTAGTTTGCTTCCAGGTATTGAAGTTTTAGTACAAGACAAAGTTTTTAAATCATTATATTTACAAAAATACTACTCTTCTTTCTCTTAAGTTATGTAAACAGTTCAATAGATTATGTCATATTAGAGCTATAATTATAATCTACTTTTTAAAGGAAGAATGATTATTTAATAAATATTACCTGCTTGAGAAAATAGATTTTCATAGCTTTAAAAATTAGAATAAATTTAGCATTAAAGGTAGAGAGTAACATGTATGCAGATGCCCCTGACATTGAATAATCTATTAACTTATAGCATTAAGCATTTACATCCTAATAATTATATATAAATTATAAAATTGTTAAGGACTCAAATATATACATATTAGTACATTATTTATTTGTAATTCAGGAATGTATCATGAACAAGAGAGAAAAGAGTAAGGAGGATATAGAAGGCATCCTCAAGGAAGAAAAAAATAGTGAAAGAAGCAGCTGAGCAGCAGAGGCAAAATAGTGTCTTACAGAGGAAAGCAATTAAGAGACAAGAGACAATACATAAATTGAATGAATATGGAGCCAATTTCATGAATTAGAAAATTGCATTGAAAAGTGTCAATTTTCACCAACTTATATTAACCTAAAAGGAAGAAGCTGAGGCAAAATTAATATAAGCAGAGCATTTGAGCCAAGACTGAGGACTGCAACCTGGGAGCATAGATTCAATGGCCCTGAATACACACTCCAATTAGCAACAGCTGCAAGTGGATTTTTAAAGGCAAAAAAATGGGCCAGGGAGTGGGCTAATACAAAGTTATTTGTCAGGAATTCTCATAGGTTTACAGAAATAACATTGATTAGTGATTGGCTATACATTGTTAAGCCATGGGTTGTGGGTTATGGTGTCCAGTGTGGCATTATTAGTTTAATTTATAGGCAATAGCAAGTAGTTTCAATAGATGAATATGTAGCTCAAAATGGGGAAGTAGGACATGATTGCTGTCTCATTTTAATGTCTCTCTGGGCCCAATAATTTGAAAGGGCTCACATTCCTCAGATAAAAGTACTTTTCTTTCCTCAAATATAAATTGAATATGATCCCAATTATAAAAATCCTAAGTAGAATTACTGATTGAAAGACTTCTGGTTTGTGATTCTGCATGTAGGGAGTTTGGACATCACAACTCCATCCTACCAAGTAAAAAGCTCAACACACTGAAAAACTAGCAACTCTGGCCGGGAGCGGTGGCTCATGCCTGAAAACCCAGCACTGTGGGAGGCTGAGGCAGATGGATCGCCTGACGTCAGGAGTTCGAGACCAGCCCGGCCAGTATGGTGAAACCCTGTCTCTACTAAAAATACAAAAATTAGCTGGGCATGATAGCAGGCGCATGTAGTCCCAGCTACTCAGGAAGCTGAGGCAGGAGAATCGCCTGAACCTGGGAGGCGGAGGTTGCAGTGAGCCGAGATCATGCCATCGCACTCCAGCCTGGGAAACAGGGAGAGACTCCATCTCAAAAAAAAAAAAAAAAAAAGAAAGAAAGACAAGAAAAATTAACAACTCCTTTTGGATACTTAAGTGAGGTGAGGACACAGGGCAAACTGTTGCCTTCAATATTAGAGAGACAGACAGGCAAACAAAGAGAGTCATGACTTACCAGAGCTGACTCATGAGCAGAGGCTGCTGCAGAAACCAGTGCCAGCATAGGAAAACCTGAACTGTAATTGATGAGCTGCTGGAGGTTCAATGTAGACAAATCTGAGGGTTAAAAACTCCAAGGGAACCCCAAACTTCTGTGAATTTTACCTCTAGGAACTCGACAAGGTCCTCACAGAAAAAAAAAATTACCTTTTGCTTCTGGCAGGGGGAAGGAGAAAGCAACCATTTTGAAATACTCCAGAGTACTCTGTTCTTAACAAGGTCTGCTCTCAGCAGAAGCTATTTAACCAGAGCCTAACCTGCAGGGGTTTTATACAAGCCTAATTGACTTGGAGGAAATACCAACTCCACATTAGAGAAGGGAGATACTCAACTTCAGCCCACTCTAGCCATCTTGTCTCACCTAAGGAGAGAGGGGAAACTGAGGAGCACTTGTACACTTTACAGTCCAGGGACACTGGCTCACTGAAAGACTGAGGCCTAATGTTTGGATTATAGGACACTTTGCCTCCCTTGACACCTTAGCACCACATTACTAAATAATAACTATTTACAGCATTTCCTTTTTACCTAGTACATCATGTATGTCTGTCAATAAAAAATTACAAGACTTACTAAAAAGCCAACAAATAATAATAATAATTTGAAGAAATAGAGCACTCATCAGAACCAGGCATAGCAGGGATGTAGGAATTATAAGCTCAGGAATTTAAAACAGCAATAATTAATATGGTAAGTGCTCTAACGGGAAAAGTAGACAGCATGCAAGACAGATGGCAATGGAGCCAGAGAGATGAAAATCCTAAGAAAGAATTAAAAAGATACTAGAGATAAAAAACGCCATAACAGAAATGAAGAATGCCTTTGACAGGCTCTTTAGGAGACTGGACACAGCTGAGGAAAGAATCACTTGCCTTGATTTTTATAGATTTATCAACAGAAATTTCCAAAACTGAAAAGCAAAGAGAACAAAGATTGTAAAAAATAGGAAACAACATCCAAAAACTGTGGAACAATCACAAATGGTGCAAATATGTATAAGGGGGATACCAAAAAGAAAATAAAAAGAAGTAGAAAAAACATTTGAAACAATAATGACTAGAATTTCCCCAAATTATTATCAGACACCAGATCACAGATCCAGGAAACTCAGAGAACACCAAGGAGGATAAATGCCAAACAATACAAAAAGCAAAACCCTACACTGGCATATTATTTCAAACTATAGAAAATCACAGGTGAAGAAAAAACCGTGAAATAAGCCAGAGTTCAAAAACACTTTGCCTATAGAGGAACAAAGGATTACACCTGATTTCTCCTCAGAAATCATGCAAGCAAGAAGAGAGTAGAGTGGAATATTGAAGGTGCTGGGAGGAAAAATGACAACCTAGAATTCTGTACCCTGTGAAATATTCCTTCAAAAGGGAAGGAGATATAAAACCTTTCTCAAACAAAAGTTGAGAAAATTTGTTGCCAGTATACTTGCCTTGCAAGAAATGTTAAAAAAGTTCTTCAGAGAGGACAATAATATAATTTAGGCCAGAAACTCAGATCTTCACAAAGAAAGGAAGATCATCAAAGAAGGAAAAAGTGAAGATAAACAAAAACTTGTATGTTTCTTATTATTAATTGATCTAACAGATAACAGTTCGTTCAAATAATAATAGCAACAATGTACTTGATTATGTATGTTTATGTACATGTCTTATGTGCGTATACTGTATATGCTTATATATAAGTGAAATGGATGACAATAATGATACAAGGGATAAGAAACAGAAATTAGGATTATTTTGTTATTAGAAAGCACTCACGTTACCTGTAAAGTGGCAAACTATTTTAAAGTGGACTGGATTAGTTGCAAATGTATACTGCAAACTCCAGGGTAACCACGTAAAAAAGTAAAAAGAAAATTATATATATATGACATATGCTAAGAAAGGAGAGAATATGGAATCTCAATTAACATGCTCAATTAACACCATAAAAGGCAGAAAGAGTGAAAGACAAAAATAGGAGCAAATAACAGGAAAACAAATAGAAAACAATAACAAATATGGTAGATATTAGTCCAACTATATCAATAATCACCTTGGATGTCAATTATCTAAGTTTACCAATGAAAAGACTAACAATGTCATAGTGGATCAAAAAGCAAGACCCAACTATATGTTGTCTTTAAGAAGTCCACTTTAAATATAAAGACAGATATACTATGCTAACTCTAATCAAAAAGAAAGCAGGAGTATCTATCTTAATTTCAGACAAAGCACACTTCAAAGCAAGTTAAATTATCAAGGATAATGAAAGCCATTATTTAATGATAAAGGGGTCAATTTTCCAGAAAGACAATTATCCATAATGTGACTGTACCTAACAACAGAGCATCAAATTATATAAAGCAAAAAGTGATAGAAATGAAAGGAGTAATAGACTAAACCATTATTATAGTTGGAGACTTCAACATAACTCTGTCAGAAGTGAGTAAATCCAACAGGCAGAAAATCAGTAAGGACACAGTTGAACTCAGTAACACCATCAATAAACTGGATATAATGAACATCTATAGACTACTTCATTCAACAACAGCAGAATACACATTCTTCTCATGCTTTCATAGAACATTTATGAAGATATACTGCATTTTGGGCCATAAAACACACCTTAACATATCTAAAATAATAGAAATCATACAGTGTCTGTGTTCAGACTGCAGTGGGGTTAAACTAGAAACTAATAACAGAAAGGTAACCAAAAAATCCCCAAATAAGCACACTTCTAAATAAACAATCCAACTTTAAGACTTACTATAATGTTATTGGCAAAAGATTAGACAAATTGATCAATGGTGTGACTAGCAAGCCCACAAATAGACCTGCATAAATATAGTGAACTAATCTTTGACCAAGAAGCAAAGGTAATAAAATAGAGCAACGAGAGTCTTTTCAATAAATTGTACTGGAACAACTGCACATCCACATTCAAAAAAATTAATCTAGACACAGATCCTACATCTTTCACAAAAATTTAAATGAAAATTGTTCATAGACCTAAATGGAAAAGACAAAACTCTAAAACTCCTAGGAGATAACATAGGAGATACTTCAATGACAAAACTATAAAAGATATTTAAAAGATCAGTGGTTGCCAGAGGTTGAAGAGGAATGGAGGGGTGAAGAGGCAGAGCACAGAAGATTTTTAGGGCAGTGAAACAACTCTGTATGATTGTAGAATGGCAGATACATGTCATTATACATTTGTCCAAACCTGTAGAATGTATAACACCAAGAGTGAGCTCTCATATAAACTGTGGACTTTGGGTGATTATGATGTGTCAATGCAGGTTCACCAAATATAGCAGTCTGGAGGGGCATGTTGGTAATGGGGGAGAGTATGCATGTGTAGGGGTAGGAGATATATGGGAAATCTCTGTAGCTTTCTCTTATTTTTGCTGTGAACCTAAAACTTCTATAACAAAATAAAGTTTTAAAAAATATTAATTGGGCCGGTTACAGTGGCTCACGCCTGTAATCCCAGCACTTTGGGAGGCTGAGGCGGGCGGATCACTTGAGGTCAGGAGTTCGAGACCAGCCTGGCCAACATGGTGAAGCCCCATCTCTACTAAAAATACAAAAATTAGCAGGCGTGCTGGCACTTGCCTATAATCCCAGCTACTTGGGAGGCTGAGGCAGGAGAATTTCCTGAATCTGGGAGGCGGAGGTTGCAGTGAACTGAGATTGCATCATTGTACTCCAACCTGGGCAAAGAAGTGAGACTCCACTTCAAAAATAATAATAATAATAATTGGATTTGTTTATAACATGACAAAAGTATCTTAGAGTTCATTCAAAAGATAAGTGAGACTAGCACAAAAACTTGAAAAAAGAAAATGAGTGATTTTTCTAAGCAGAATGGGAAAATACACTAATCATAATAATTTCACTGGTAGAAGAATGAATAAATTGGCTTCTTTTAGGAGCTCAGGCACTCATATTCATTCTAGATCTCTTACTCTGCCTCTAGCAAGAATACTGATCTTGACTTATCATTTTTCGTTGCATTGAGTGGGCCATGTTGTTTGGGTACAGCACTCAAACAAACTAAAAAGTCTTAATAAACATAGATGTGCTCTTTTCTCTATTTTCTTCCATGCCTGGAGGCAGCTCATTCTGGAGTTTGTAACACTTCCCCTGTTACCCACATAGGATAGGCCTGTGATATATATCTGCTAAATTCCTTTGCTTCTGTTTTCTCTGGTGCTGGCAGGTATGGGTTTCATTTCTACTCAGTGGTAGGCTCTGAGAGCCAAGTTGAGGTAGTAGGGTGAGAGAATGCACAGGCCATAGCTGGACATGGCTTAAGCAAACTCACTGTGGTTCTTTAGTGGGATTTGGGGATAAAGCCCTTGCTAACAGTAAACAATTACTTTGTCTTCTATAATTCTCATGCAGCCAGGGAGTGGGTGTTGAGGGGAGGGAGGAGATATGATATTTCTTGATTAACAGCATCTCAGTATAATCCATTTCTTATGACAAACTTAACTAAATAGATCAATGGAATAAAATTAAAAGTCCAGAAAAAATGCAGGTGTTTATAATAATTTAATATATGGAACATTTTACCAAACTGTATTCTTTTGAAAAAAATAGATACGTGAGAAAGTCCTCAATGATAAAAAGCACAAAAACTTCTGTGTATTCCACACACAGTTTAACTGTACCTAATTCATACTTGGCATCTCAAAGGCTCTGAGAATTCCTGTAGTACATAGGAAGGATCACTTTAACTTTGTTTAATTCAGCGGTTTCCAGTGCTGAAATTTCAAATTCAAAATTATATTTGACCACAATTGTGAGATTTTTTTAGGTCTGGTATGTGCCCAAACATATTTGAGTGATTAATTGGTTATTCACGAAGCGAGGTCAGGACTATTGTCTATTAACCTGGGAAAAATTACAGTGGCACACTGCTGCAGTTAACTGTGGTAAAGTATAGTGTTCCTGTGTCTGGAACGTTTTGCTATCCACCTGCTCTCTGTAGCCATGTTTTGGCTTCAGTTATGGTGCCCTAGTCCTCCATCTCCAGGTGCTAAAATGGGCACAGATTCCAGATTGGGCCAATCAAAGTATTTCTTGATCTTTCTCTGCATTCTTTGAGGATAGTGATTGATTCAGGAATTAGAACATGGTCTAAGATAAGTCAATTTGAGTCATTCCTAGGAATTTTGGGCTGAAGCTAGTAAGACACACCACAGTCTCTTCTTTGTGAGATGTAAGGGATAGGCCTAGGATACTGACAGCCATCTTTCCTGCTATATAGAGAGATTCTAAACAGCATCATAGGCAAATATTAAGGCAAATGGCAAACTAGGGAGAGATATTGCAACCCATGTAACATAGCATGATTAGCATCCCTAAATATATGTAGTCTTACATGTCAATAATAAATTGACAAAAACACCAACTAAAGAATGGCCAAAGAATTTGTATAGGCAATCAATAAAAGAACTTTAAAGCATTAAAAAATTTCCTACCTCACTAGCATTAAAAATGTAAATTAAAACATGCAGATGGCATTTGTAGTCTGTCAGATTGACAGAATAAAATTGATGATTGCACTCTCATTCATAGATGATAGGAGCTATTAACATTTCCAAAAGATTACTGTGGCAAAACAAATCAAATGCCTTCAATATTTTTATACCCCACCATCCCAGTTTTAACAACTTATCCTAAAGAAATAACTGGACAAGAGCTCAGATAATGTGTTTATATGGCAGGACTTAATCTCAAAGTTTTAATCTAATTATTTCTCCCCTTTCTCTTTCATGTATACTCCAAGAGATATTTTGTGCCCCTAACTCATACCAAAGACTGAAAGAAATCACTAACACTAAATGTATCTTGTAGTCTCAGTCACTCTCACTTTCTACCTCTGAATGTGACTGAAGGGCATTGGTATGACCACTATTTACTTTTAAATTAAAGACTCATGGCTTTTTTTTTTTTTAATCCAGCATCCTAATGATTGGTATTTTTATGTCTGATTCACTGTGCCTCACTTGCCAAAACAAATAGTTAGAACATTAGTCATTGACAGAGTTATTATATAAATAGATATCTATAATAGTAGATATCAATGTATGTATCTATCTATCTCATCCATTTATCTCAATGGGAGTTTATGCCAGCCACATTGGATATAATTCTGTCAATTTTGCTGATATACTCCATTTTTTACTAGAAATTTTCTGTTAGTTGGCATTCTTTCAAATACAAATCTCTATTAATCAAGCATTGTCATCCATAAACCAAGCTCCATGTTTTTTTTTCCCCCTTTTATGAATTAAGAGTCTCATACAGTGGGGCACAAGCTTTCAATGTTAGAGGTAAGTCATTTCATGGGGACAGTCTTGTCTGTAGGGAGGTGACTTCCATTGTTCATAGATCCCACGGTTTCCTTCCATGCTACTCACCTTTGCAGGTTTATGAATATATTCTTTGCATTTAATCAGTTCAGTTTGCTGAGCTGCGTGTTTCTTATTTAAATGCTTTTCATGCAATGCTCAAGTTCTTATTAGAATCTTTGATCTTAAAACTATTGAAGTCACTCATTAGAAGGTATAGTCTCATCCAGTACCCACTAGAATGCTTATAGTTATATTTAAAAGACAAAGAGCTGAGTAACTGAATCAAGGATCATTAGGTCTAAAAGCCCAATGTTCTTCCCTATAGCACTCCGCCAGCCTTCGGCCAGAAGTAGTTTCCTATTATACCCCATGGGGCCATTCTATTAAAATGGTTCCCTGTCTTTCAGCTTTGACTACTCCAAGGTTCCCACTTAAAGAAACTTCCTTACTTAACTCTCAGTGGCACCAGCTGAGTTTCCTACTCACGCATCACATTTGTACCAACAATAGGGTCAGGTGTTCCTCATAACAATTTGTCAGATTTGCCAGTCCAACACTTTTCACTCTTTCACCACTGCATTTCTGTGTCCTTTTAATATTTGGATATGGTTCTTGCCCTGTGATTTGGGTTATATTGTGCATTGAGCTCAGTACCCAAGAGTTCAGGAAGGCACAGTTACTTATCCTCAGGCCATTACACCATGACCTAACCATATAGCTTCAGATCTTCCCGACCAGCTTATCAATTGGAATTTTCATCTCATCCTCCAGGAATTATTTTTCTTATGGAGGGAGTTTAATCTCAGACTCTTTAGTCAGAATCCTTCTTAAAAACCCCCACAGTTATTTCCCCCTCAACTTCTCCTTGAAAGCTTAAAAGCTATAAGATAGGCTGTACAAATGCTTTGTGAAGGGGGCCAGCCTCTCCACACCTGTGGGTATTTCTCATCAGGTGGGAGGAGAGACTGAGAAAAGAAATAAGACACAGAGACAAAGTATAGAGAAAGAACAGTGGGCCCAGGGGACCGGCGCTCAGCATACAGAGGACCCGCACCAGCACCGGTCTCTGAGTTCCCTCAGTATTTATTGATTACTATTTTTACTATTTTAGCAAGAGGAATGTGGCAGGAGAGCAGAGTGGGGAGAATGTCAGTAAGAAAACATTTGAGCAAAGGAATCTGTGTCACGAATAAGTTAAAGGGAAGGTACTATGCCTGGATGTGCACGTAGGCCAGATTTATGCTTCTCTCCAACCAAACATCTCAGTGGAGTAAAGAATAACAGAGCAGCATTGCTGCAAACATGTCTTGCCTCCCGCCACAGGGCGGTTTTTCTCCTATCTCAGAATAGAACAAATGTACAATCGGGTTTTATACCGAGACATTCCTTTCCCAGGGGCAGGCAGGAGACAGAGGTCTTCCTCTTATTTCAACTGTAAGAGGCCTTCCTCTTTTACTAATCTTCCTCAGTACAGACCCTTCATGGATGTCAGGCTGGGGGATGGTCAGGTCTTTCCCATCCCACGAGGCCATATCTCAGGCTATCACATAGGGAGAAACCTTGGACAATACTCGGCTTTTCAGGGCAGATGTCCCTGCGGCTTTCTGCGGTGTTTGTGCCCGTGGTTTATTGAGAATGGAGAATGGCGATGACTTTTACCAAGCATACTGCCTGTAAACATTTTGTTAACAAGGCACATCCTGTACAGCCCTAGATCCCTTAAACCTTGATTCCATACAACACATGTTTTTGTGAGTTCAAGGTTGTGGCAAAGTTACAGATTAACAGCATCTCAGGGCAAAGCAATTGTTCAGAGAACAGGTTAAAATGGAGTTTCTTATGTCTTCCTTTTCTACATAGACACAGTAACAGTCTGATCTCTCTTTTCCCTACAGCTTTGATCTATGTGAAATGTCACTCTCAGTTACTCAGGTGAATCTGCTTTACCCATGTGGCAATATGGAGGCACATCCCTGAGATTTCCCTTCAAGAGAACTTGTCAAAAGGAGTGCAGTGAGCTGACAGTCTCCAGCTGCAGCACCTTTGAAATCTGCCACAGCATTTCAGCCAAGGCCACTCTTTTCCTGGCCAGCCCCACTCAATGACTAAGCATGACACTGTACTAAGACATTTTTGCCCAACACATACTTCTCCCGACACAAAAGATCTCCACTGAGGATTTTTGTGCCACAACTTTCCCTTGCGTGGGCTCAGATTTTTTCAGAGTTGCAATTAGAGCCTCTTCCTCCTGAATCTCTGTCCTTCCCCCAGCCCCACTCCCCTTCAAAAGTATCAGATATACATTGTGGTATAAAGCATTTTCTGTCTACTCCTGTTTCCTCTGCCATTTATTGTGTGTGTGTGTGTGTGTGTGTGTGTGTGTGTGTGTGTGTGTGATATAATAAAACTTTTTTCATGGCCACTGTAATTTAAATTTTATGTAATTTTCATGTGCCATAAAATACACTTTTTACAAAATGTTCTTAAGAAACTTCTATATTTTAGGACACATTTAGATTTGCAGAAAATTTTATAGTACAGAGTTCCCATATACCTCATACCAACTTTCCCCTATTGTTAACATCTTACATTGAACATTTTTCATGATTAATGAGCCAATGTTGATACATTATCATTAACCTAAAGTCCACACTTTATTTTTTTTTTTTTAGTTTTTACTTAATACCCTTTTATTTTCCCTTCCAAAATCCCATTCAGGATATCATATTACATTGAGTAGACATACTTCTAATCTTAGTCTCCTTGTGTTTGTGATGGTTTCTCAGACTTCCTTTGTTTTTGATGACTTTGACAGTTTTAAAGAGTACTTGTCAGGTATTTTAGAGAATGTTCCTCATTTGAGATTCATCTGTTGCTTTTCTCACAGTTAGGCTGGGATTATGTATTCTTGGGAAGAAGACCACGGAGGAAAAGTGCTATTCTCGTCATATCAAAAATACATACTATTAACGTGACTATTAACATGACTTGATGTTGACCTGATGGTGACCTGGATCACCTGGCTGAGGTAGTGTTTGTCAGTTTTCTCTCCTGTAAAGTTACTCTTTTTCTTTCTCCTTCCCATATCATACTAGTTAATGCCTTAGCTTTTACACCCATCAATGAATAAATCTCTTGCACTTCTCATGGCTGGTTTTAGTAGTGGAGCGTCTGAACTAGTGGCCCAAGGAAGTAAGTCTTAGTAAGTTTAGTAGTGGTCCAAGGAGGTAAGTCTCTTGGACCACTATCTCTTGCGCTTCTGACGTTATCTTGACATTGCCTTCTGAACTAGCACACCTTCTTTTTAGTATTGGAGAATCTGAACTAGCACAGCTGGTTTTAGCAGTGGTTCAAGGAAGTAAGTCGTAAAAAATCATGATCCCTTGCTTAATTACTGGATTTCAGACAGTTTTCAGACCTGGAACCTACAGACTAAAGAGGTGGCTGAATTCCTTGGAAAAACGCCACTGGTACGTACTTTAAAGATTCCTTAGTAACCCCCTTCTGTATGTACTCTAAAGATTTGTCTAGTCTTTCCCAAAGGGATCCATGGACATTTATGTGGTGAATAAGTACTTGAAAAGGAGAATATACACACAGTTGGGAGACTATTGGACACAGGATCTGGGTTGACATTGATATGCAGAGAGCCAAAGTATCACCATGGGCCCTGTTACATGGAGGTGAATGGGGCAAGGTAAAATATTACTAGCTAAAGTTTATCTTGCAGTGGGTCCATTTGGTTTGCAGATTTACTGCATGGTCATTTCTCTGGCTCTCCAATTTACTATTGGATAGTCTTCGACATTGGGTCCTTGGCTGTGGAGGAAGACACAGCCTCTGACATTACCAAGCTTAAAGACAGAAAATAAAAAACAATATTGTTTCCTGAAGATATGACAGAGATTTGTTCCCCTTTAAAGATCTAAAATCGGAGGAATGGTAGTCCCTATCATATATATTTTGGAGACAGAGTGTATTAGTCTGTTTTCACACTGCTGATAAAGATGTACCCTCCAAATCTCATGTCCTCGCATTTCAAAACCATTCATGCCTTCCCAACAGTCCCCCAAAGTCTTAACTCGTTTAAGCATTAACTCAAAAGTCCACAGTCCAAAGTCTCATCTGAGACAAGGCAAGTCTCTTCCTTCTGTGAGCCTGTAAAATCAAAAGCAAGCTAGTTACTTCCTAGATACAATGGGGGTACAGGTATTGGGTAAATACAGCCATTCCAAATGGGAGGAATTGGGTGTAACAAAGGGGTTACAGGGCCCATGCAAGTCTGAAATCCAGCAGGGCAGTCAAATTTTAAAGCTCCAAAATGATCTCCTTTGACTTTATGTTTCACATCCAGGTTACCCTGATGCAAGAGGTAGGTTCCCATGGTCTTGGGCAGCTGTGCCCCTGTGGCTTTGCGGGGTACAGCCTCTCTCCCAGCTGCTTTCATGGGCTGGCATTAAGTATCTGTGGCTTTTCCAGGTGCATGGTGCAAGCTGTTGGTAGATCTACCATTCTGGGGTCTGGAGGACAGTGGTCCTTTTCTCACAGCTCCACTAGGTGGTTCCTCAGTAGGGACTCTGTGTGGGGTCTCTGATGCCACATTTTCTTCCTCACTGCCCTAGCAGAGGTTCTCAATGAGGGCCCCGCCCTTGCAGCAATCTTTTGCCTGGGCATCCAGTTATTTCCATACATCTTCTGAAATCTAGGCTGAAGTTCCCAAACCTCAATTCTTGACTTCTGTGTACCCACAGGCTCAACACTACATGGAAGCTGCCAAGGCTTGAGGCTTCTACCCTCTGAAGCAACAGCCCCAGCTGTACCTTGGCCCCTTTCAGCCACGGCTGGAGCAGCTGGGACACAGGGTACCAAGTTCCTAGACTGCACACAGCACGGGGACCCTGGGCCCAGCCCACAAAACCACTTTTTCCTACTGGCCTGTGATGGGAGGGGCTTCCACAAAGGTCTCTGACATGGCCTGGAGATATTTTCCCCATTGTTTTGGAGATTAACATTAGAATTCTTGCTACTTATGCAAATTTCTGCAGCCAGCTTCAATTTCTCCCCAGAAGAAATTAGTCAGGCTGCAAATTTTCCAAACTTTTATGCTCTGCCTCCCTTATAAAACTGAATGCCTTTAACAGCACCCAAGTCACCTCTTGCTTTGCTGCTTAGAAATTTCTCCCACCAAATACCCTAAATCATATTTCTCAAGTTCAAACTTCCACAAATCTTTAGAGCAGGGGCAAAATGCCGCCAGTCTCTTTGCTAAAACATAACAAGAGTCACCTTTACTCCAGTTCCCAACAAGTTCCTCATCTCCATCTGAGACCACATCAGCCTGGACCTTATTGTCCATATTGCTATCAGCATTTTGGTCAAAGCCATTCACCAAATCTCTAACTTTCCCACATTTTTCTGTCTTCTTCTGAGCCCTCCAAACTGTTCCAACCTCTGCCTGTTACCCAGTTCCAAAGTAGCTTCCACATTTTTGGGTATCTTTTTAGCAATGCCCCACTCTACTGGTACCAATTTACTGAATTAGTCTTTTTCATGCTGCTGATAAAAACACACCTGAGACTGGGAAGAAAAAGAGGTTTAATTGGACTTATACCTCCACATGGCTGGGGAGGCCTCAGAATCATGGCGAGAGGCAAATGCACTTCTTACATGGTGGTAGCAAGAGAAAATGAAAAAGAAGCAAAAGGAGAAACTCCTGAAAAACCCATCAGATCTCGTGAGGCTTATTCTCTATCACAAGAATAGCATGGGAAAGACTGGCCTCCATTATTCAATTACCTCCCCCTGGGTCCCTCCCAGAACACATGGGGATTCTGGGAGATACAATTCAAATTGAGATTTGGGCGGGGACACAGCCAAACTATATCACAGAGTCTCACTCTGTTGCTCAGGCTGGAGTGAAGTGGCGCAATCTCAGCTCACTGCAACCTCCACCTCCCAGATTCAAGTGATTCTCGTACCTCAGTCTCCTGAGTACCTGGTATTACAGGCATGCACCACCACACCTGGCTAATTTTTTGTATTTTTAGTAGAGGTGGGGTCTCACCATGTTGCCCAGGTCGGTCCCAAACTCCTGTGCTCAGGCAATCCACTTACCTCAGCCTCCCAAAGTGCTAGGATTATAAGCATGAACCACAATACCTGGCCTATCCTATGTATTTTTAATGGACCAGTCTGGTCCCTGCTGAAAATAGATGGATCTTGGAGGAAACCTGTGGACTACCACAAGGTCAACCAAGTAATAGAACCAGTCATAGCTGCCATGCTGAATGTTGTATTATTGCTTGAGCAGATTAATAAGGCCTCAGATATATAGTATGCAGCATTAGTTTGGCAAATGTGTTTTTTTAATCCTAATCAATCAAGAGAATCAGAAATAGTTTGCACTCACATGGAAAGAATAAAATTTTGCCCTAGAGCTATGTTAACAGTTCTACCCACTGACAGAAAATATTTAGAAGAGATCTGGACTGTCTGGAATCCTGTACAATTTCAAATTGATTTATTATATTAATGGCATCATGCTGATCTGGCAGGATGAGCAAGAAGTGACTAGCATACTAGAGGTCTTGGTAAGGCATATGCACTCCAGAGGAATCTGTCACTTCAATAAGAACTTTAGAAATTCAGGGGTCAGGAAGATGCTGATGCACAAATTGCTGCATTTGTATTCTCTATTACAAAGACAGAAGCATAGAAACTGATAGGATACCAAGTGACCATGTGTCCAGAACCATCCATCATGATTTGTGTTTTGTCAGATTGAATCATAAAGTTAGGCAGTTCCAGTTACAACATATCTATAAGATGTAAATGGTACATTTAAGATTGTATCTAAGTAGAAACAGAGGGCATAAGTAAACTACGTAAGCAGACAAGCTAGAGCTCCATATCACCCACCACAGTTGTACCAGTAATCTTCTTTCAGCTCTCACTTAGCACCATATGAGAGATGGGTTCCTGTCCCACTAGATAAAGGAAATGAAAAAAAGTTCATTCTTGGTTTATCAGTTGGTTGGCTTGACAGGTGGGTACAAGCTGAAAATGGACAATGGCTACATTACAGCCATACTCAGGGGCGGCGGCCTTGAAAGACAGTGGTGAGAGAACATTTTCAAGGTGGAACTTTGGGTGTACCTGGCCATTCACTTTGTATGAAAGCAGAAGTGGCCTGAGGTGAAAATAAGTGTGAACTGTGGCAAATGCCTGGCCAGAGTTCAGGGGTTTAGAAATAAAAGAATTGGAAGATCAGAAATAAGAGGGTCTGGGCCAATGACATATGAGTGGAGATATGGGAGTGGGAATGGTGTGTGAAAAGTTTCTATAGATTAATGCCTATCAGAGCCACTGAATAATCAATAGACAAAATGACTCAACCAGTTGACATTAGTCAGCCTTGGTCCTTTTTCTACCCAGAATAAGTATTACAGGCAAATGGAATGCATGAATGCAACACATAAGTCTGTTTGTATGAACTCCCACTTATTGAGGCTGATCCAAATACCTCTGTATGTATGACCTATCAACAATGTAGATGAGTCCCCACCATGCTACTATTTGAAAAGACCAACTGGCATTTTGTAATAAATTGACTATATTAGTCCCCTTCCATCGTGGAAAAGTCAATAGTTCTTTCTCGTTGAAACAGATACCTGTTCTGACACCCATTCTGGATATGAATTTGACTTTCCAGCCCTCAGAGTCTTAGCCAACACCACAATTTGGGGATTTACTGAGTTCCTGATTCACAGGCATAGAATCCCACAGAAGCAAGCATCCAATCAGAGGTATCACTTTGCAGTAAAGGAGTTTCAGGAGGGGTGTCCTGACTGTGGAACCCACTGGTTGTATTATACATCACACTATGTAGAAATTGCTGGCCGATAAACCATTAGGATAGTCTTTTGAAGGTGCAGCTAAAGTTCCAGCATAGAGGCAGTACAGTTGGCCCTCCATATCTGCAGGTGCTGTGTCTGTGGATACAGCCAACTGCAGATCAAAAATCCCACCCTCACCCACACCAAAGGGAGAGAGTGCCAAAGCACCCTTTGGGACAAAGGAAACCAGACTGTGCACTCTCATCTGCCTGAGAGCTCCCTGCTTGTGAGAAGACGATGATTGTGCCCCTCCCAGCGGAGAAATGGGTGTGGTGTTGGGCTCTGTAGGGGAGGAGGGTGGTTCCACCACAGCAGCCAGGCAGTACCAGTGCCTGGAACGGATGTGGAAATAAGGTCTCCTCCACCCCTCATCTACTGCTGTGGATGTCCCTGCTGGGAATTGACACAGTAGCAGCTGTCCCTGCTGGGAATTGGCACAACAGCACCTGGGGAGAACATTTCTAGGGCTATTGAGGGTTAATTCACCCCCACAGATGGTGTGCCTACTGGCCTAAGCTTGCACAAAGGGTGGGGCCCATCCCAATGTGGAGCATTCGCATTCCTATGGCAGAGTGCAAGTGAGTTGCAGAGCTGTCTGTTAAGGTTTGAGGGAAGAGGTTCTGCCCCAAGGCCATTTCAGGAGTAGCCATGGAATGGGAATGTTTCTTGACCTCAGCTGAATTGTGGGCTGAGGATAAGGACAATATCTATTTGAACCAAATAACAAAAGCCCCTGGACAGGTGTGTGATAGGGAAGCAGACTGTCTTCTTGTTTAGTGCAGCCTCCTTTATCCCCCCATAGTGGAGACCTCAGGACCCTGAGCCCCTCTCTGCCCCCCTGCCCCATCAGGGTGGGTGCTTCCACTAGTAACTGGGGTATTCAA
Organism: Homo sapiens; assembly: GCF_000001405.40. Lineage (NCBI taxonomy): Eukaryota > Metazoa > Chordata > Mammalia > Primates > Hominidae > Homo > Homo sapiens. The sequence goes on along the minus strand of NC_000012.12, from coordinate 75,437,946 downwards.
AGACGAGTTTGGAAGTCCAGCTCTGCCCAAATTTGTCCCTTGCTCTGGGCTGAGTGAGGAACTCAGGGCATTGAGTAGTCCACAGACCAGCCAACTGCCTGTGACAACAGAAATCCCCTCCCAGTGAACAAAGAAAAAGAACATAGGCATCAACCTCTGTGGTAGCCAGCTTTTACCCATAAGCACCACCTACTGGACTGGAAATTGAAGTGCCCAACCAAATATAAAACCTGCTGACTGAAGAGCACAGTGCTAGGGAATGAGATAAGCTTCCTGAGGCCTCTGCACTCTCAGCCCGGCAGAAGGTAGTGAGCCTGCTTATATACCCAATACATTGCTACTACAATCAGCATTTAAGAAAGCCACCACACAAAAGCTATCTATAACTAAGGAACTCATACAGAACCTTGGCTCACTGAAAGCACCCAGAATCAAAGCCAAATGATTATACACAATATACATTACTACAGTCACACCCTCGAGGGAAAAAAAGTGTCATTCAAAAGAAAGTAAATTCAAAAATAAAAAATGATAGCTTCCTCAGATGAGAAGGAATCAGCGTAAGAATTCCAACAGTATAAAAAACCAGTGTTTCAACACTCCCAAAGGATCATACTAGCTCTCTAGCAATGGATCTTAATCAAAATGAAAATTCTAAAATGACAGATAAAGAATTTAAAATATGTATTGTAAGGAAGCTCAATGAGGTCCAAGATAAAGTTGAAAACCAACACGAAATCAGAAAAAAACTCAGAATATGAATAAACAATTACTAAAGAAATACATATTAAAAAGCAAACTGAACTTCTGGAAATAAAAAAAATTATTGAAGGAGTTACAAAATACAACTGAAAGCTTTAACAATAGACTGGAACAAGCATAAGAAAGACTTTTAGAGCTCGAAGACCAATCCTTTGATTTAACCTAGGCAGACAAAAATTTAAAAAATAAAATAAAATAAATAAACAAAGCCTTCAAGAAATATGGGATTATGTAAAGTGACCAAACCTATGAGTTATAGGCAATCTTAAGCAAGAAGAAGAAGAAGTAAAAAGCTTGGAAAACCTATCCAAGGGAACAATTTGGGAAACCGTCCCTAGTCTTGCTAGAGAATTAGGCATTCAGATACAAGAAGCAAAGAGAATCCCTAGAAGATACTCTACAAGATATACCTCATCAAGGTATATAGTCTTCAGACTATTCAAGTCAATGTGAAGGAAAAAATCCTAAAAGCAGCAGGAGAGAAACATATAATAACTTATAAAGGAAATCCCATCAGACTAACAGCAGACTTCTCAGCATAAACCTTACAAGTCAGAGGACATTGGGGTTCCATTTTTAATCTTCTTAAAGAAAGGAACTGCCAGCCAAGAATTCTGTATCCTCCTAAGCCAAGTTTCATAAATGAAGGATAAATGAAGTAGTTCTCAGACATGCAAATGCTAAGGGAATTTGTTAACACTAGCCTGGCCCTAAAAGAAATTCTCACAGAAATTCTAAACATAGAAACAAAAGGATAATATTTGCCATTATAAAAGAACACAAAAGAAAACTCATGGGTCTTATAAAGCAATTATAAGACTAGAAAGCAACTAGGTAACAATTAACATTATGACAAGAATAAAACCTCACATATCAATATTAATCTTGAATGTCAATGAACTGAATGCTCCACTTTAAAAATTTAGACTGGTGAATTGAATAAAAAGACAAATTCAACCATATGCTGCTTACAAGAATGCCACCTAATGAGTAAAGACTCAAAGTACAGGGGTGAGAAAAATATCCCATGCAAATGGAAACCAAAAGTGAGCAGGAGTAGCTATACTTATATCAGATAAAATAGACTTTAAATCAACAACAGTAAAAAAAAAAAAAAAAAAAAAAAGACAAAGAAGATCATTATATAATGATAAAGGGATCAATTCAATAAGGAGATATAACAACCTTAAGTATATATGTACCCCAAACTGGAGCACCCAGATTCATAAAACTAATATTCCTAGATGTAAGAAAAGAGATCAACAGCAATAAAATAATAGTGGTGAGGCCGGGTGCGGTGGCTCACGCCTGTAATCCCAGCACTTTGGGAGGCCGAGGCAGGCGGATCACGAGGTCAGGAGATCGAGACCATCCTGGCTAACATGGTGAAACTCTGTCTCTACTAAAAATGCAAAAAATTAGCCGGACATGGTGGTGGGCACCTGTAGTCCCAGCTACTCGGGAGGCTGAGGCAGGAGAATCGCATGAACCCGGGAGGCGGAGCTTGCAGTGAGCTGAGATAGCGCCACTGCACTCCAGCCTGAGCGAAAGAGCAAGACTCCGCCTCAAAAAAAAAAAAAAAATAATAGTGTTGGGCTTCAATACCTGACTGACAATACTAGACAGATTATGGAGGCAGAAAATCAACAAAGAAAGTCTAGACTGAAATGACTCTAAACCAACTAGACCTAATAGACATTTACAGAACAGTGCACAATAACTGCAGAATATATATTTCTCTCATCAGTACATAGAACATTCTCTAAAATAGACCATATACTTGGCCATAAAGCAAGTCTTAATACATTTAAAAAAATCAAAATCATATCAAGTATCTTCTTGGACCAGGGTGGAATAAAATTAGAAATCAATACCAAGAGGAAATCTCAAAACTATACAAATACATGGAAATTAAACAACTTGCTCCTGAATGATCTTTGGGTAAACAATGAAATTAAGGCAGAAATCAATAAAAAATTTTGAAACTAGATACACAACATACCAAAACCTCTGGGATACAGCAAAAGCAGTTCTAAGAGGAAAGTTTATAGTGTTAAATGCCTACATTAAAGAGATAGGAAGATCTCAAATTAACAATCTAACATTGTACCTAAAAAAAAAAAAAAAAAAAACCTAGAAAAACAAAAACAAACAAAACCTAAAGCTAGCAGAGAAAAGAAATAAAAGATCAAAGCAGAACTAAATGAGATGGAGACCAAAAAAATGATACAAAGGAGCAAAAAATGAAAAATTGGCTCTTTGAAAAGATAAAAAATATTGATAGACTGTTGGTTAGAATAACCATGAATAAAAGAGACAATTCAAATAAACGCAATCGGAAATAACAGGGACATTACATACCTGCCACTTGAGTTGATTTCATGACTTCGTCTTTGGAATAGTGCTGTGATAAACATATGGATGCAGGTGTCTTTTCAATACAATTATTTCTTTTCCTTTGGGTAGTGATATGATTTGGTTCTGTATCGCTACCCAAATCTCATCAGTAGCTCCCATAATTCCCATGAGTTGTGGGAGGGACGCAGTAGGAGATGATTGAATCATGGGGGTGGGTCTTTCCCATGCTGTTCTTGTGATAGTGAATGGGTCTTATGAGACCTGATGGTTTTTAAAATGGGAGTTTCTCTACATAAGCTCTCTCTCTGCCTGCTGCCATCCATGCAAGATGTGACTTGCTCCTCCTTGCCTTCTGCCATGATTGTGAGGCCCCTCCAGCCAGGTGGAACTGTAAGTCCAATAAATCTCTTTCTTTTGTAAAATGCCCAGTCTTGGGTAGGTCTTTATCAGTGGCGTGAAAATGGATTAATACAGTAAATTAGTACCAGTTAGAATGAGTCATTGCTGAAAAGATACCTGAAAATGTGGAAGTGACTTTGGAACCGGGTAACAGGCAGAGGTTGGAACCATTTGGAAGGCTCAGAAGAAGACAGGAAGATGTGGGAAAGTTTGGAACTTCCTAGAGACTTCTTGAATGGCTTTGACCAAAATGCTGATAGTGATATGAACAATAAGGTCCAGGCTGAGGTGGTCTCAGATGGGGTTGAAGAACTTGTTGGGAACTGGAGTAAAGGTGACTCTTGCTATGTTTTATCTAAGAGACTGGTGGCATTTTGCCCCTGCCCTAGAGATTTGTGGAACTTTGAACTTGAGAGAGATCATTTAGGACATCTGGATGTTGGGAATGAAGTTTTTGGTGTCGAAAAAAAAAAAAAAAAAGAATGCAGGAACAAACAATCTCTCAGCCAGGTGAGCTTTACTTTCTGCAGAAAGGGTGCTACTCAGTAGCCATCCAGCCACGAGAGCACACCAAACAAAGGAGACAGAGTAATTTATAACCTGACATGTCTACCCTACTGCTGTGTCCAGTTTTCATTGGCTGGAATAGGACCTCACATTTTACACTTTACCTGATTGGTTATTAGTTTAAAACTTTCTTAATTAGGTAAGGGGAATAGAACAAAGAAAGAAAAGGAAGTTGCCCAGGGATACTTAAGGAAGCATCTCCAAATAAGGAGTGGCATGCACTATGGGCTGGGGCTTGTCTACTTCTGTCCAGGCATGCCGGAGCAAGCTAGGACAGCTGATTTGGAATATATATATATAATCCATTATATATATATATAAAATCCATTATATATATATATATATAAATAATCCACTATATATATATAATCCACTATATATATATATATAATCCACTATATATATATAGCAATCTTATAGTAAGAAATTGTGACTTTTTATAATCTTTGAAAAAGAACTCCCATTTCTCACATGGAGGAAGAAATTTCTAAGCAGTAAAGCTTTCAAGAGGTGACTTGGGTTGTTTTATGAAAGAAACAGAGCATAAAAGTTTGGAAAATTTGCAGCCTGTCAACGTGATAGAAAGAAAAACCTATCTTCTGAGGAGAAATTGAAGCTGGCTGCAGAAACTTGCATAAGTAATGAGGAGATGAATGTTAATCTCCAAGACAATGGGGAAAATGTCTCCAGTCTGTGTCAAGAGTTTTCACCAGAGCCCCTCCCATCACAGGCCTGGAGGCCTAGGAGAAAATGGTTTCCTGGGCCAGGCCCAGGTTCTGTTAGGCATACAGATACATAACAAGTTAGTCATGTGTGGGAATTAATAAATGAAGAAATTGTACTTGTAAATGCATCAAATGTTCACAAATCCAAGGTCAGTTTTCTTATTTTAAAAATAGAAGCAATGCCAGCTCCACAGGAATGGTTTTGAATATCAAATACTTACATGAAAGGACTTTGGAAGCTATGAAATACAACACAAATGTACAATAATAATAATAAATAACGTCACTGTAGAGAACTAGCCCTTTTCTCTACCTAAGGCTTTTTCTCAGGGGACTGGTGGAACAGAGGCTGACTTCATAGATAGAAAAATATCTAATTTCTACAAACAGGAGCTCTTTGAAAAAAAAAACAAAGCAAAGGAAACAAACCAAACAGAAACATTCAAATCCAAGAGGATAGCTCAGGGCTTTTTAATATAATTCTCATCTTGCCCTACTTCGAACAGGTTTTTAACAGAATATTGATACAACTAAAGAACAACAGAGTAAATACACATAGCATTTATACCATTTGAGGTATTTGGCTATGCTAGGTTTTTTTTTTTTTCTTTCCCTCAGTGGAACCACACATTGAGAAATATAGCTTTAGAACACAATATTCTATCAAAACCAGAAAACAGAGATTGTTTTATTTGAAAACATCAGATATGCAGTGATTCTTTCAATGTCATTTCTTTCACTTAAACCTTCAGGTTTATTAAGCCTCTGATTCTCAATTAGAATAAGTTCCCTAAGTCCCTGTCATAAATAGAATTATATCAACCTTTCACATCTCAGTCACATTGAGTTCTAATAAGTGTGCAACAATAAGACAGCTGAGTATGGAATGGCAATTGGAAAAATATTATACATTGCTTTTTGCCTATTTTAAAATTGAGTAATAAAAGGTATTTATTATTTTGCCATATAAGGTGCTGAGTTCAGGAATATTTTCATGGGAATCAAGTTTTTCCCTCAGGTGTTTGCTTAGTGTACTTCACAACTACTATTGATTCCTTTACAAAGTTGATCCATGAATATTCATTGATGGAAGAGGTCTTAGTGGTCATCTAGTGCTATCCATTTATTTTATAGATAAAGAAATCTCCTATGCTAGGTATTTTTATTTAGTTCATTTATTAGTATTACTAGTGGTAAGCAGTTATCTTATTAATCTGTTAACTTTTACTATACCTATTGAATAACAAGTTAATAGTTTTTAAAAAATTTATTTATTTTATCATATAAATTTGGAAGCACCCAGATTCCTCTACCACAACTAATTAAAATTATGGCATTTATTAGCCCTTGGTGGCAGAAAATTACAGCAAGTCTTTAATGAAATATTGAACATTAATTATAAATAATAAGTTTGCATCCTAGCAGGATGTACAGGTACCACTTAAACTATTCCAAAAACCACAAAGACAAATAATAATATTAGATACCTTAATATCACATGAAAATACCACTACCACCAATAAAAACTATGACAGTAACAGTAAAAACAAAAAAATACAAATTTTATTCAATGGTTGTTATGAACTTGGAATGATCTTAAGCACCTTACTATTTAAAACACAGAGATGGAAACATGTTTAGAAAATGAAAATTCCCTACTTTATTAGAATAACATGGTGAAATCTTAAGATTAATTAGACTGGTCAAATGTTTTTCAGTGTTTTTCCTGTCATGTCTTTATCTGTTCTTAGTGTCAAAGAGCCCACCTTACATGTTTTTTGTTTCTTTGTTTTACAAATTTAAATTGATTGAATAAGTATAGGAGAGAAGGGAATAAAAAACATTCCAATGGTGGTTTGCATATTTTCTTTCTTGTTAAAACTCAGTGTTTTACTTTTTTTTTTTTTCTGTCTTTTTTTGTATTACACTTTTGGTTTATATTGGTGATACATCTTTTTCCTCCTCTTTCTACTCTTATTTTTCCTCTTCCTCCATCTTTTCTTTTTGTGTTTCCTCCTCCTCCTCCTCTCTCTCTTCTTTTTCCTCCTCCATTTCCATTATTTCCATTTCCATTTCCTCTTTCTCTTTCTTCTCTTCCTCTTTTTCCTCCTCTTCATTCCCTGCTTCAGATTCCTCAGGGGTAAATATCATTTGTTGTTCCAACAAGATATTTGGAAACTGAGACTGTACTATCAAAACAGTTATGACACACAGGATAAAACATAATATTCTCAATAATAAAATGAATGTGCACAGTGGATCACACACAACTGGCCGGGGCATTTCCCATTTTGGATACCAAAATCGGTAATCTGTAAACAAAGAAGCAATTGAAAGCTGGATTTCATATAAAGCAGTTCAATTGTTCAAGAAATAAAGGACAACAATACATACATGTGGCTTGGTCACGATCTGCATTACCTAGAAAGAAAAAGAAAGTCCACAAAAATTACATAAAATTTCTTCTTTGTCTAAAAAATAAGATAATCTCCCAATAATAGTGTCACTTTCTCCTAGTTCTCAGGCATTATCTTTGATGTCCTCCCTCCAACCAGTGGCCAATTTTAAAGTACAATATATTCTCTTTTAGTGAAATCAGCCTGGTCTGCTACAGAAAGTATGGAAATATATGCGTAAAGAGATATGCATTCTAGTGCTAATTCTGGCTTTATGTCATTGACCTTACATACATTTCTCCACTTCTGCCTTTAAAATATTGTTCCAGCTCCAACATTCTAGGATTCTACAATATCTATTTTCATCTCCCTTTGCCCCCACAGATAACTCCTAATTAATCTTAGAAATCTATTCACTTTCCTCATTTAATTCTTATTTTCAGAAGCTTTCAGTTGCTCTTAATTTCCCAGAAGGTAAAGTTAGCTCTATAGCCTGGCATTCAATATTTTTAGTTAACTAGTCCAATGAGATAATACTAGTTTTTAGGAAATAAATTCCCTTTCTTCTGCTCATTTGGGCTGAGAGATGTATCAGTCCATTTTCATACTGCTATAAAGAACTACCTGAGACTGGGTAATTTACAAAGAAAAGAGGTTTTGCCTGTAGTCTCAGCTACTTGGGAGGCTGAGGCAGGATAATCACTTGAACCCTGGAGGCGGAGGTTGCAGTGAGCCAAGATGGTGCCATTACACTCCAGCCTGGCGACAGAGCAAGACTCTGTCTCAAAAAAAAAAAAAAAAGAAAGAAAAGAAAAGAAAAGAAAAGGTTTAATTGACTCATAGTTCTGCATAGCTGGGCAGGCCTCAGGAAATTTAAAATCATGGTGGAAGGTGAAGGGGAAACAAGGCACATCTTACATGGTGGCAGGAGGGAGAGTGAGGGGAGAACTGCCGAACACTTTTAAACCACCAGATCTTATGAGAATTCATTCATTATCATGAGAACAGCATGGGGGAAACTGTCCCCATGATCCAATCACCTCCCACCAGGTCCCTCCCTCAGCACTTGGAGATTACCATTTGAGATGAGATTTGAGTGGGAACACAGAGCCAAACCATATCATTCTGCCACAGCCCCTTCCAAATCTCATGTCCTTCTCACATTTCAAAACACAATCAGGCCTTTCCAAGGGTCCCCAAAGTCTAAACTCATTCCAGCATTCACCCAAAAGTCCAAGTTCAAAGTCTCATCTGAGACAAGACAAGTCCCTTCCATCTATAAGCTTGTAAAATCAAAAGCAAGTTAGTTACTTCTAAGATACAATGAAGGTACAGGCATTGGGTAAATGCTCCCATTCCAAATGGGAGAAATTGGCCAAAACAAAGGGGCTACAGGCCCCATGCAAGTTCAAAACCCAACAGGACAGTCATTACATCTTAAAGCTCCAAAATAATCTCCTTTGGCTCCATGTCTTACATCCAGGGCTGATGCAAGGGGTAGGCTCCCAAGGACTTGGGAAGCTCTGCCCCTGTGGCTCTGAAGGGTTCAGGCCCTGTGGCTGCTTTCACAGGCTGGCATTGAGTACCTGTGGCTTTTCCAGGCACATAGTGCAAGTTGTCATTCTGGGATCTGGAGGATGGTGGCCCTCTTCTCACAGCTCTATTATGCAGTGCCCCAGTAGGGACTCTGTGTGGTGGCCCCCACTCCACATTTCCCCTCTGCATTGCCCTAGTAGAGGTTCTCCATGAGGGCTCCACCCCTGCAGCAAACTTGTGCCTGGACATCCAGGTGTTTCCAAACATCCTCTGAAATCTACGTGAAGGCTCCCAAAGCTCAACTCTTGTCATCTATGCACCTGCAAGCCTAACACCACATGGATGCTGCCAAGGTGCTACCAAGGCTTGGGGCTTGCACCCTTTAAAGCAATGGCCTGAGCTGTACCTTGGCCCCTTTGAGCCACAGCTTAAGCTGGAATGGCTGGGAGGCAGGGAACCATGTCCCAAGGCTACACAGAGCAGCGGGGACTGGGCCTGGCCCATGAAACAATTTTTCCCTCCTAGGCCTCTGGGCCTGTGATGGGAGGGGCTGCCATGAAGATCTCTGAAATATCCTGGAGACGTTTTCCCCATTGTCTTGGTGATTAACATTTGGCTCCTTGTTACTTATGCAAATTTCTGCAGCCAGCTTGAATTTCTCCCCAGAAAAAAAAATATATATATATTTTTTCTACCACATGGTCAGGTTGCAAATTTTCCAAACTTTTATGCTCTGCTTCCCTTTTAAACGTAGGTTTTAATTTCAGATCATCTCTTTGAGAATACATAAGACTGTATGCTTTTACAAACAGCCAGGTCACATCTTGAGTGCTTTTCTGCTTAGAAATTTCTCCTGCCAGATACCCTAAATCATCTGTCTCAAGCTCAAAGTTCCACAGATTTCTAGGGCATGGGTAAAAATGCCACCAGCCTGTTTGCTAAAGCATAGCAAGAATGACCTTTATTCCAGTTCCCAACAAGTTTCCCATCTCCATCTGAGACCACCTCAGCCTGGATTTCATTGTCCATATCACTATCAGCATTTTGGTCAAAACTATTCAACAAGACTCTAGAAAGTTCCAAACTTTCCCACATCTTCCTGTCTTCTTCTGAGCCCTCCAAATGGTTCCAACCTCTGCCTGTTACCCAGTTCCAAAGTTGCTTCCACATTTTCAGGTATCTTTTCAGCAATGCCTCACTATAACTGGTACCAATTTCATGTATTAGTTGATTTTCACACTGCTAAAAAGAACTACCTGAGACTGGATAATTTACAAAGAAAGGAGGTTTAATTGACTCACAGTTCTGCATGGCTGGAGAGGCCTCAGGAAACTTCCAGTCATGACAGAGGGTGAAGGGGAAGCAAGGCACATCTTACATGGTGGCAGGAGAGGCAGGGGGCAACTGCCAAACACTTTAAACCATCAGATCTCATGAGAACTCACTATCATGAGAACAGCATGAGAGAAACTGCCCCCCTGATCTAATTACCTCCCACCAGGTCCCTCCCTCAACATGTGGGGATTACAATTCAAGATGATATTTGGGTGGGGACACAGAGCTAAACAATATGATGGTCAGATAACCAATCCTGAATTCCACTAGGAAGCATAGTAGGAGGATAAATGAGTTCTCACGTAGAGAACCCAATAGCAACAAAGAACTTTGTCTTGCAGTAATATTACTCTTAGGGGAAAATTTAGAACTCATTGTTAAGGCACCTTGGAGATGAACTGACCTTCCTTTGGATCTTTGCCGTTATTTTAGCCTTTTGCGCTTGGTCTTACTTTATATTTTATGTAATGATTTCTATATTAGATTTTCTTTTAAAAAGTCTTTTGTCATATAGTTTGTATTTTCTCATTTGGTATTTGTGTGTCTATTGATACCTTAGTATGAGCAGTTATGTAATAGTATGTTTATTCTTTGCATCTTTCTTCACTTCTCATCATTAATTTTCATTGATTATATGTTTCATTAAATAGTTACATACATTTAAACTTACTTACACCTCTATTGTTTGTCAGCTTTAAATATTCTATTTAGTATCTTTGGCCCTTAGCTATAAATGATGAGGAAACAAGCTATTTTTTCTATCTCTCTCTTCTCCTCCCAAGTTTTATTAATTGTATCATTTGTATGTTTCCAATATTTCTTGTATTTTTTTTTGTGACTATAACTCTCAGATTGTTTGAGTTTTAGTCTATCCATTAAGATTCAGGGCTCACAGAGAGTTCTTTCACTCAAGTTTTTTCATTCATCTCTTCTTTTTGGTGAATGTCATCCTTTAGTTTATTGAAGAAGTGCTCATGAGAACTATACACCAAATGTAACTGCATGCTCCCAAAACATCTGTCTATTTCATTACACTTGAATAATAGGTTTTGCTGTATATAAATTCTTGGTTGACACTTCTTATATTAAGGGTATATAGGCATCATTCCACCATCTCTTAGCATTTACTGTTATGGTAGAGAAGTTTGAAGCCAGACTGAATTTTCCCCCTTTACGTGGGAACATCAATTGCCAAAGCAGCATTACTACCACGTGAGTGTGAAGTCAATTTTGTATTGTAGAGCTGAAACCAGGAAGTACAGTTCTGTGAATTATTTTCTCTGTATAGCTTCAGGTAAGAGTTTGCCAATGACAGGAATGCAAATGAAATAGGAAAGATATAAGAAAAGCAACCACCAGGGTGATAGTAGGCCAGGTAAGATGGATCAATGTGAGTTTCACAGTGGCTTCTTAGTATAATACAATGGAGAACTATCTGCTTTGTAGCCACTTCTCTGCCTTACTGTGGCCACTTCCCTGACCTTCACTCCCTTAGTGTTTACAGTATTCAGATAAACTGTATTTCCTATGTTAAATACTTTATTGCTAAAATACTTAGAGTGACTATTTTTCTAATTCAACCCAGACTGTTAAACTTCTTAATAACTGATCTTACATTTTTGCTTGGATGCTTTAAGATTCTTTCTTTTCCACTGAAGTCCAGTAATTTACTAGTCTATGTCTACTGTGTTGACTATTTTGTGTCACTTTTTCCTGGCACATAGTGTGCACTTTCAATGTTTAAGATTCAAGTAATTTTATTTCTGTAAAATTTGTTTTATTACTTATTTAAGTATCTATATATTTCTCTCTAGTTGTATTTTCTGTTCTATTGTTTTGGTTCTGTTCTTGAGGCCCTACAATTATTCACATGTTGAAACTGAGTCCATAGTTATAGTTTTATCTGTGTATATATACACATTTATATATATGTTTATTAAAATTCTTAATTTCCAACACTTAAAATTCCAATTCACCACCATAAGATTCATGCTTACTTTTTTCCTTTACATATTTGTATTCCATTTCTGACAGTGAGAAAACTAGCCCCCATTATACTTTTAATTTATTTTTTTGATCAATCCCCCAGTATGCTTCCGATCTCCCATCATTGTCTCTAGCCCCTAGCACGCATAGGTGCCCTCCTCACTCTGCTTAGACACTGAGATTTAGCAAATAAAAATAAGTGATGTCAGGTTACATTTGAATCTCAGAAAGCAATAAATATTGTTTTAGTATAAGTTTGTCCAATGTAATATTTGGAATATGTTTATGCTGAAAAATTGTCTTGTATTAATTGGCCAACTTAGGGGCTGGCCCTGTGCTGGGACACCCTCCCACCGTGCTCAGACTTTGAAACCCAGCTCTGGGCTTCTGCATGTGTGGATTCCTTCCTTACCCCACTTGGGCCCTGACTTCACCCATGTCAAGTCATCTTCCCCACATTAAAACTTTCCTCACCTAATTTGCACTCAGACACCTCATGTGTGATTGCCCCTAAGTATGGATGCCCCCTTTACTGGCTTAGGTTCTGAAATCTCTTCTCAGCCCACTCCAACATGGACTCTTCTCCTTATTCTTCTTGGCCTCCAACAACCACTGCAGGACCATCCCCCCAGGGATGCCTTCCTCACTGGCTCAGACTCTCCCTTCCATCCCATGTTGATGCTCTCCTCACCTTGCCTGGGCACAGATGCTACATACTGAGTCATCCCTGCATGGACATCTTTTTATTCTGCTCTGGCTCTGATACCCCAAACCTCATGTATGGACAGTTACTTCATTCCATGAGGTCTCTGACTTCCCACACATGGCCACATCTCTATGTGGACAGCATCCTCACCTTGCTTAGGTTTCCTTTCCGTGCCCACTGCATCTCGTGTGGATCCTTTGTTATGCTGTTTAGGCTCTAACATATCACCTTTGGATGCCCCTCTGTGTAGATGACTACATTCCCCTGACCTGTCCAATGACTTTAGCATTGAATTTCTCAGAAAAAGAAAGACAAGGAAGAGAGGAAGAGCAAGAGTTTGCATCTTGATTCAAGTGAAGCAAGAGCAGAAATGTTAGGGTGGATTCATCCCTGTAATGGTGTTATAGTAAAACTGTCCACTAGTTTTTGTTTCTGTTTTTTCTTCAGCACAAAAACATAATATATTTGGGAGGCTGAGGTAGGAGAATCACTTGAGGCCAGGAGTTTGAGACCAGCCTGGGCAACACAACAAGATCCTGTCTCTGCAAAAAATAAAAAAAAAAATTAGCTGGGCATGGTGGCACCTGTCCGTAGTATTAGCTACTTGGGAGGCTGAGGCAGGAGGATCACCTGAGCCCAGGAATTCGACGTTACAGTGAGCTATGATCATGCCACTGCATTCCAGCCTGTGTGACAGAGCAAGACCCTGTCTCTTTTCCAGAATCTACAAAGAACTTAAACAAATCTACAAGAGAAAAACAAACAACCCCATCGAAAAGTGGGCAAAGGACATGAACAGACACTTCTCAAAAGAAGACATTTATGCATCCAACAAACAAGAAAAAAAGTTCATCATCACTGGTCATTAGAGAAATGCAAATCAAAACCACAATGAGATACCATCTCATGCCAGTTAGAACAGTGATCATTAAAAAGTCAGGAACCAACAGATGCTGGAGAGGATGTGGAGAAATAGGAACACTTTTACACTGTAGGTGGGAGTGTAAACTAGTTCAACCATTGTGGAAGACAGTGTGGGGATTCCTCAAGGATCTTGAACCAAAAATACTATTTGGCCCAGTAATCCCATTACTGGGTACATACCCAAAGAATTATAAATCATTCTACCATAAAGACACCTGCAAACATATGTTTATTGCAGCACTGTTCACAATAGCAAATACTTGGAACCAACCCAAATGCCCATCAATGATAGACTGGATAAAGAAAGTGTGGCACATATACACCATGGAATACTATGCAGCCATAAAAAAGGATGAGTTCATTTCCTTTTCAGGGACATGGATGAAGCTGCAAACCATCATTCTCAGCAAACTATCACAAGAACAGAAAACCAAACACTGCATGTTCTCACTCATAAGTGGGAGTTGAACAATGAGAACACATGGACACAGGGAGAAGAACATCACACACTGGGGCCTGTCAGGGGGTCAGGGCTAGGGGAGGAATAGCTTAGGAGAAATATCTAATGTAGATGATGGGTTCATGGGTGCAGCAAACCACCATGGCATGTATATACCTATGTAACAAACCTGCACGTTCTGCACAGGTACCCCAGAACTTAAAGTATAATAATTAAAAAACAACATAATATGCTATTTACTTATTATCCAAATTTATCTCCTACCATATTCCTCTAAGCATTGTATATTTTAGCTACAGTTATACTTTTGGAGTATATTCTCTCATGTTTGGAAAAACTAAAAGAAAAATGTAATCAAACATATTTTCTACTTTTTACTTTTGAAATATTTGGAGATTTCAGCTTTTTGGAGGAAAAACTAAAAGAAAAGGGTATTAAATATATGCTACTTCATAAATATTTTGGAATATACTATCCTTTAAAGCAGTTATTATCAAACAGGCTGCTGTTTGGGCATAAACTGTGAAGCTTTTTAAGGGTATAACTGTTAGTTCTCATTCTTTCTTTCTGACACTCTGGTATGTCCTCAGGGGAAGGAATAGGGTTAAGATAGAACAGAAAAAGCTCTGCAGTTTAGAAAAATCTAAAGATGATACTGTGTCAACCATCCTTTGATAACATAATAGTAGCATTCTGATCAAAGGAATAATATTAACATGACCATAAAAAACTAGTGTTCAATCGCTTATTTTTCTTGTCCAATCCATTATGCATTTTTTTCATGTTTATTTTCTTTATCTTACTGCATAGAAAATCTGTGCATTTGTCACGTCTGCCACATCGAGTACAAAATATTCCTGGTTCATAAGGTCTTCTCGTCAGTGTTCCTCTACAAACAAAAAAGCAGAAAACATTTAGTTAGAATAAGCTTCCATTTTTACATGTAATTTAAATAATATAGTTACTAATTTTTAATCAGGTTAAAAAGGCGGGTTAAGAAACTGGACTTAAGGAAATACTTTAATTAGAGATTCAATGTTTCCCTTTTGTTCTCCCCTAGGAAACGGTCTTTTCTGAAACGAATTCCCATGCCCTAGAAACAAAGTATTATAATTAAATATAAGAATCGGTTTTAAAGCTTCTTTCATTTTAGTTTATAGCAAAATGTATCCTTTAAAAATGAATGATGTAGACCGGGCGCGGTGGCTCATGCCCGTAATCCCAGCACTTTGGGAGGCTGAGGCAGGCAGATCACAATGTCAGGAGATCGAGACCATCCTGGCTAACACGGTGAAACCCTGTCTCTACCAAAAATACAAAAAATTAGCCAGGTGCGGTGGCAGGTGCCTGTAGTCCCAGCTACTCGGGAGGCTGAGGCAGGAGAATGGCGTGAACCCAGGAGGCGGAGCTTGCAGTAAGCTGAGATGGGCCACTGCACTCCAGCCTGGGCAACAGAGTGAGACTCTGTCTCAAAAAAAAAAAAAAAAGAATGATGTAGGCTGGGTGGGGTAGCTTCCCCACCTGTAATGCTGGTGCTTTGGGAGGCCAAGGTGGGATAATCTCTTGAGACCAGGAGTTCGAGACCAGCCTGGGTAACATAGCAAGACCTCGTCTCTTCAAAAAGATATATTTTTTTAATTAGCCGGGCATGGTGCGTGCCTGTAGTCCCAGCTACTCGGGATACTGAGGAGGGAGGATCAGTTGAGTCCAGGAGTTTGAGGCTGCAGTGAGCTGACTGTGCCACTGCACTCTAGCCTGGGCAACAGAGCAAGGCTCTGTCTCTAAAATAAATAAAGAAATAAAGAAATAAAATTTAAAAATAAATGATATAGAATTTTTTATAATTAATTGCTTCCTGGTTGGCCCAAATACATAAAAAGTTTCATAGAAATGATATATTAAGTATCTGTAGAGTTTACAAAATTCTGAAATGCTTGTGTCCCAAAGACTCATCTGCATCAATTATTTTGGGGGTATATATAAAAACACATAAATTTATAAAGAAGCAAATAAATATAAATGGGAGTTTACAAAGTTGATTTAACCCATTGTACAGAGCTAAAGAGAGAAGAAATAATTACATCAATTGCCTACAGCTAAATGAGAAAAAAGGCCCTAAAGTACTTTTAAATTGGGAAATTTAAATAAATGATCTAGGATAAGAAAGGTAGAAAAAACAAGTAGGGAAAAGATACATTTGAGTGGGGGCAGCATCATTAATCCTGGTAATTTAATCAGTATTGCCTATTTACCTGGTATATAATTGGGAGCTATAAAAACAAACATTCATTATTTAAGTCCTTGGTTAGGCCTTCTAGAAGAATGGCCAAGCCTAAGAAATATATATTCAAAAACCTGAGTATCACATTTCTCAGATATATCTTATTTAATCAGAGAGTTTGGGTGATACCCAATAAGGCATCTGATACCCTTGAATTGTAAGCATTCAAGTCTATCAGGAACATCCAGAGGTTTGTGGTTATTTGTAGATCATATATCACTTCTTCAATTTCACTGTTCTATTATCCAACTATTTCAAGAAAGAAATGCATTTTGTTTAGAACCCAGCCAGAGCAGAAACTCAAGAGTTGATCTAGTCACCTTTAGCTACACCCTGGTCTATTTTTCCTGTCCCAACCCCTTTTCACCAAAACAGATGCCTCCAACACAAAAGCAGATGTATTGTCTCCTAAGGTCCCAAGGATGGGGGACCTCTGTCCTTATACCTAAGTAAAAAGCTACTCACTATAAAAACTGCCTTTGAGAACTAGAGCATAGTCCCATCACCCCAAGATCATAATGTCTGATATCTGTAGTGTGGAAAAACTGTGGGAAGGCAAATAAACAAATATAATAATGCATACATACATACATAAAACTGAAAATAAATAAATCCACACTGTGGTAGACTACAATGAGTCCCCTCTTTCAAAGATTTGAGTTTTATAATCATTATTTCTATTAGACAGCCAGAAATGTCAGGCTAATACCCTCCCCTATGTTAATCTTCCTCTAGTTCTGAGTTTCTAAGAAAGTGAACCTAAATTAACTTGAGTCTGAATCCACAACACAACTCCCAACTTCAATTGGAATTATTGGGCCAGATTAGGAGGAAATAATAGGTAACTATCTATAAGCAGCAAAGTCCACTGAAATTTCACAGCTGCCCTGGCAGTGCCTTAGAAAATTTGCATTTTCTAAGAAGCAGACCAGTGGTTCACCAAGACCAAGTCAAGACTCTTGAACATAGTCTTCTAGAACTTTTCTTAGCCTCTATCTGGCCATAGCCTCAGTACAATGCTACCTATAGAGCATGTGTCCAGATCCTAGATAAGGACATGTTACCTGGGCGGCCTAACAGAGAAGTGTACCCATTTCCAACCCCAAGTTCATTAGAAGGCCATTATTCAAACTTTGATATAGATACACAGTCTTTCAAAATGAGAGCACAATTCTGGTGGTTGTAGAAACTTTCTTTGCCTACACTAGACTCGTATCTGCCACCATCTTGTTCATCAAGGAGGTAATCCAGCCCATAGCTTGACAACCTAGCAATTACAATTTGTAGGCAGATTCTTCAAAGTTCTCCATCCAGACTCACATAGTCTGTACATTATTCACAGAACAAGAGCCAAAGCACATGAAACAGATGTCGATTTTTCCATCTCATACAGCCAGAACAACTAGACTACTTACAACTCGTTTCATTTTTCACTACTTCTTATGTATCACAACACTGACTTCTAGTTTGTTTCTGGAAGATCTATGGGTTTTCCAAGAAGACTTACTTTTTTCCAAGAAGAATCTATTCCAATAAGTTTAAGAGAAATACAGTGTAGGCAGCAGCAAGGAAGATAAACTATAATAGAGATCCCATCTGGCTGTCTTTCTGCAACATCTAATATATTTGTCTTTGCCAAAAATTCCATGACTACTTCCTGGGCCTATTCAAGGTCAACGAAAGTATGAACTCTGTTGTTTTTCTGTCTCAAATTATCCCTGTATGTGCAAAGCTATTTTATTTATATCACTTTCTGTAAAACTTTGTTGGCTGGGTCTCCTCCCTTCACTTAACATATCCTGCACCTAAAGGACTGTGGAACACAGTTAAACAGTTAAAACAGTTAAACAGTTAAAGCTCCTTTAAGGTTGATATTATTTAGCTGTGCCATCCTCTAATCCTCCTTGAGAGAGATATTTACCTTCAGATCATGCCTCCTTATTCACTGAAGACTTTGGCACCTGAAACATCATTTTTAGTCAATCGTTTTTCATTTTCTCAGAAGTTGGTACCTATTTGATCACAACATTCATATGGATAATTCATCCAATAACTTGGGTTTTCCATTACTAGATGTCTTTACTACCAAAATGCTTCCCAATTCTCCATAGTTGTCACTTTTATAGCTACATTCTGGATCCTGTTACCTCTTAAAACAGCTCCACCTCTGAACTCACAAAATCAGACATTTCACTCACTGGCTATAACCTCCTATCCTCCTTCCAGGGTGCTAACTTATTTACTCCTGCCACACTGCTTCATTAATTTCACTGAGGTGTCATGTCTATTTTCTCTCCTATTTTCTCCCTATCCATTCTATTGTCTCTTCTTTTATTCATTTAATTTTTAAAATTATACTTTAAATTCTCGGGTACATGTGCAGAACATGCAGGTTTGTTACATAGGTATACATGTGCCATGGTTGTTTGCTGCACCCATCAACCCACCATCTACATTAGGTATTTCTCCTAATGCTATCCCTCCCCTCGCACCCCACCCCGACAGGCCCCAGTGTGTGATGTTCCCCTCCCTGTGTCCATGTGTTCTCATTGTTCAACTCCCACTTATGAGTGAGAACATGTGGTGTTTGGTTTTCTGTTCTTGTGTTAGTTTGCTGAGAATGATGGTTTCCAGCTTCATCCATGTCCCTGCAAAGGACATGAATAAAAGAGGACACAAACAAATGGGAAAACATTCCAAACTCATGGATAGGGAGAAACAATATCATGAAAATGGCCATACTGCCCAAAGCAATTTATAGATTCAATGCTATCCCCATCAAGCTACTACTGACTTTCTTCACAGAACTGGAAAAAACTACTTTAAATTTCATATGGAACTAAAAAGAGCCCGAATAGCCAAGACAATCCTAAGCAAAAAGAACAAAGCTGGAGGCATCACGTTACCCGACTTCAAACTATTACTACAATGGGACAGAACAGAGGCCTCAGGAATAACGCCACATATCTACAACCATCTGATATTTGAAAAACCTGACATAAACAAGCAATGGGGAAAGGATTCTCTATTTAATAAATAATTTTTTCTATACTCAGATTCATACATGTGTTCCTTTATAGTTTCTGGACTTTAATGTTCTGATAGGTAAGTCCTTATACCTTCCAAATTGTAAGTAAATTCACTAATATAGCTTTCATGACTTCACTTTTTAATGTTTAAGTCTTTTATGTATTAGAAATTTAATCCTCTAAGATGAGTGAAAAACTCAGTTTTACTTTTATCCAGCCAGTAGGCTCTCCTAATTCCATTACTTAAATACTTTAACCAGTGATTTTAAACGCCAACTTTATCACAATCATTACATATGGATTTGGATCTACTTATTGACCCTCATCTATATAACACAATAAGCGGAAATATTTATAAATTACATTACATAAAATGTAATGTGCAATGTCTTTGGCACACTTACAACAAAATTATATTTAACTAAATGAAAGGTCTTGTAGTCAACTGCAGATCCAACATGCCTAAAAATAAAAGTTATTTTCCCTCCACTCTATATATTTTCCTAGGTCAGTTAATAACATTACCTATCAATGAAGCATAAATTCTTATGGTCATCCTTGTGTCCTTTCTAATATTTAAGTTTTAGAGTAATCGAATTAATATTGTTTTATTTTACTTTTTAAAATTGTACTTAAAATGTGTGAGTTTTTATCTTTGAAAATGAAAAATAAGGACTAGTAAATAATTATATGTAATATAGTTTCAGTTTTTTTCTGATACATTATAAAGTATTCTAATCTTTATACAGATATCTTTGTAGATTAGGAACATTTTCTTTTCTTTATTATTTCTCTTTCCTTGGCTCTTCTCTATTCTTTAGAAACACCAATTTGTAGATTTATATGCCATACATATTTCCTTTATTTTTTCATATATATTTTGACCTCTATTCTTCACCTTTGTGTTTCTGAGAAAAATTTTCAAGGTTGCTTTGACTTGTTATTTTCAGTATGCATGGCCAAGTCTGTTTTATTCTTCCATTCTGCATTAATTTTCTGTAACTATATTAACAAATTACCACAAATTCGGTGGCTAAAACAACATTAATTTATTCTCTCACTGTTCTGGAGGCCCAAAGTCCAAAATCAAGGTGTTGGCAGGGCTGTGTTCCCTTCAAAGGCTCTTAAGAATCTGTTCCTTGATTTTTCCAGCTTCTGGTGGCCTTAGCTCCTTGGCTTGTGGATGCATCACTGTAGCTGCTTCTGCTGTGGTCACACTGCCTCCTCTTCTGTGTGTCTTATGCTGAATCCTCCTCTCCATCTCTTACAAGTATACATGTGATTGCATTTAGCCCTCACCCAAATAATCTAGAATAAGCTCCTCTCAAGATCCTTATATTAACCACATCTTTGCCATATTAGGTAATATTCACACTTTTGCCATTTAAGTAATATTGACAGGTTCTGGAAATTAGGACCTAAACATAACGTTGGTAGGGGGGGCACCATTCATCCCACTATACCTTTTAATTTTCAATTTTGTTATTTTACATTCATTTCTACCCAGTATTTTATAATATTGTAATGGATTGATTTTTCTACCAACTATCCTTAAGAGAGATAATGTGATTGCCTATTTTAGGTACATAATCAAATAAGAATTGGACTGAGTTGACTGATAACTGTTCCAATCTAGATCCTTCAAGGTAGACT
Organism: Homo sapiens; assembly: GCF_000001405.40. NCBI lineage: Eukaryota > Metazoa > Chordata > Mammalia > Primates > Hominidae > Homo > Homo sapiens. The sequence goes on along the minus strand of NC_000012.12, from coordinate 75,416,829 downwards.
TGCCAATATTTGTATCAAAGGAAAAATGGTTAACAAATTTCAAGACAAAGAAGCTTGTGCAATAAGAGAGTAGCAAGAAAAAAAGGGTAATTTCAACAACTGGTAGCTTCATCTTATCACTGTAGTCATCTGAGACCCCTGTACTCACTATTCTTATTAAGGTCACCAAATACCTTCATCTCATCTAATGGAACTGTCAGTTCTCCTTCCTCAATTTCTCATTCTCTCAGCAGCGTCTCATAGAGTTAACCAGTTTGGGCTTCTTAGCTCATGTTCTTCACTTGACTTCCAAGTACCTTACCAGCAGGTTTTTGGTTTCCCTCATACCTCATTAACCTCTCTTCATTCTCCTTTACTAGCTCTTTTGCCTTAGTTTAAAATAGCGTAGTGCCCCAGGACTTAGTTCTTAAATTGTCTCCATATTCACTCTCCCACATGCTGATCTAATTCACTGTGACTTCCACTTCAGGGCCTTTATACCAGAAGCTTCGTCTACTTAGAAAACAACCACATACTTTCATATGGCTATCTGCTTCTCATGATTCATTCACATTTCCTACATTTATTTTTCTATCTAATATACCCAAATAGAAAACATATCTTTTGATCTTCTCTAAGTTAATGAAATCACCATCCACCCAGTTTTTTAGACTAAACACATAGGCATAGTGTTGCTTGATTATTTTATTCAATTTATCCCTAAACTCAAGCCAATCGGCTTGTATTATTAGCTCCACCTTCATAATATACCCAGAAACTGACCTTTCCTCACCATTTCCATTCTATGGTAGGCAGAATTCTAAGATGAATCACAAGATCCTCCACTCCTCAGGTACATGCCATGCATAATTCTCAGGAGAGTGAATATGATGAATTTTACTTCCATAATTATATTATAAGGCACCACTGACCTTAAAATATTGACATTATCTAGGTTGGCCTTGACTCATCCTATGGGTGTTTTAAAAGCAGAGAGTTTTCTTTAGCTGGTCACAGAAGAGGAGACAGAGATTTGAAACATGAAAATGCTCTGACATACCTTGGCTGACTTGAAGATGGTGGGGCCATGTGTCAAAGAAACATGGGCAGCTCCAGAAGAAGAGACAACACATGGCTCAGAGCCAGCAAGAAAACAAGGACAAGAGTCCCATCACCATACAGAGCTAAATTCTGCTCACAGCCTGAATGAGCTTGGAAGCAGGTACTTCGCCAATCCTCCAAGTGAATACTTAGTCAACATCTGGATTTTGGCCTTTGAGACCCTGGGAAGACAATCCTGCCACAATATGCCTGGGTTCATGACCTATAGAACTGTTTGATAATAAATGTTGCTGCTTTAAATCACTACATTTGTGGTAATTCATTATCCAACTTGATAAACAATCCACATGCTAAAACCCTAATCCAAAATATCAGTCTGTAGCCTGTACTACAGGCAACAGCCTCCTAATTGTACTTCCTCTTTACACTCGTTTCCTTATATTTCATTCTCTACCAACAGCCACAGTAATCTTTTTGTTAAGGTGTTCTTTTCAAAACAAAAATGAGATCATGTCACTCTGTGCTTAAGACCTTCCAATGGCTTTGTCATTACTTAGGATAAATTCCAAAATCTTTAACATAATGTATGTTATTATATTTGGTCTAGCTGTTATCTAACTCTCCACCTCAACTCCTACATCTAACCACAGTTATTCCTTTCTCTGACATGTTAAACTCATTCCAATCTCTGAGATTTTTATACATGTTCCTATCTGGAACATACTTCTACCTGGAACATCTGGTTTTCAGCTCAAATGACACCCTTCTTCTATGACTACCCTATCTGTCTTCTAGACCAGTCATTCTCTATTTACTAGTGTTGCTTTTTACAGTATATTTTATTGTCTAATTAAAATGTTATTTATCTATGTGTTCACTTACTAAAAAGTGTTTGTCTCCCTGCCAAGACTATAAACTCAATGTGGTGTCTTTTTGCGTCTTGTTAGCAGAAAAAACAGAGCCTGTACATACTTGCTGAGTGAATAAATGAGGATTTGTGCCCCAGAAAAACCTCTACCAACCCCCTCCTCCCCAGTGTACAATTCCATTTGAATCTGCAAGACCAATCAGTAGTAATTTTTAAAGTTTCTGCATGTAATAGGTATCCCAATGCTTCCAGTCTGTAGGAGTGAAAGGACACCTAAAATGTTTTGCAACTCTATATTCCAAACTTATTTTGCATGTCTATATTCAAAGTTAGCAAGACTTCTCATCAGGAAAGAGCTTTCTGAGTTTAATTTGATGCACAGCATAGTTCTTTTGTTTTTCTTAGCCAGGGGAATACAATCAGTAATCACTGCTTTTTAAATTTTTCTGTCTGGTTTAGTCCCAAAGCATTTTATTTGGCAGAAATTCCTTCTCAATCTTGGTAGGCAGTCAATTCTTACTGTTTATTTAAGATGTTAATTCAAACATTTTCTAACTTATTTGGAAGTTATAATAATATTATTTATAGTATTATATTGACCTGTAAGAAACTTGGAACTTTCCAAAAGAGCTCTCAAGAAATGGAAGCTATTTTGAGATGCAGTTATTTTCCACCATTTGAAGGCACCCAGGTATATGGTATAGTCATATATGAATAGCTTGACTAAAAGATGTTTGAAGTGCTTTTCAATCTCTGAGATGTTACAATTCCTTATACATATAAGACAGGTCCCAGTTAATAATGTAATCTCCAAGAGGTGGTCAATTAAAAGTGTTCTTCATGTTACAAAACTGACATATTCATGAAACAATTCTTACTAAATAAATTTCAACACATCTAATTTTCTTTCTACTTTTACTATAAATTTTAGAATAAACTATTTTGGAAAATAATTTGTCTTATGCTAATTAAGTGAAATATTGTGAAATAATACTAAAGTGAAGGTTACTCCAGGAAGTAATATTTGGCTAGTGTATAAGTACAATCAATATGTCCAATTTAAGACTTATTTCATTATAAAATTGATTGAAAATATTTCAATGTAAAGTATATTTATTTTATAGTTCAAAAACACTTATAAAAATATATTAAAAGTTAGAAAAACTCACCTTGAAATATTCTGATTTTTATATTCTTTTATTAATTTTAAGTAACTTACCCTGGCGCATAGTTGCATATGAAAATTGCTGCATGTATAATATGTCCAATTTTTGAACATGGAGTAACAGCACAACCAACTTTGTAAGAGTGGTCCCAAACAAGCTAAAATAAAATTTTCAAGAAAGACACAAAATTTAATTTTAAACATTGACTTTCATATTATAAACAATAATATATTCCATTCACATAGAACTTTTCACCAAGCAATTCAAGAAATATAAACTATTTTCATTTAGAGACATGTAGAGAGTTACCAAGGAGTTCGGGCAGCATTTTCAACACTATATTTAGATAAATACTTCAATAGGTTCTACCAATAACATATTCTTTTTTTTTTAATTTTATTTTATTATTATTATACTTTAAGTTTTAGGGTACATGTGCACAATGTGCAGGTTTGTTACATATGTATACATGTGCCATGTTGGTGTGCTGCACCCATTAACTCATCATTTAGCATTAGGTATATCTCCTAATGCTATCCCTCCCCCTTCCCCCCACCCCACAACAGGCCCCGGAGTGTGATGTTCCCCTTCCTGTGTCCATGTGTTCTTATTGTTCAATTCCCACCTATGAGTGAGAACATGCGGTGTTTGGTTTTTTGTCCTTGCGATAGTTTGCTGAGAATCATGGTTTCCAGTTTCATCCATGTCCCTACAAAGGACATGAACTCATCATTTTTTATGGCTGCATAGTATTCCATGGTGTATATGTGCCACATTTTCTTAATCCAGTCTATCGTTGTTGGACATTTGGGTTGGTTCCAAGTCTTTGCTATTGTGAATAGTGCCACAATAAACATACGTGTGCATGTGTCTTTATAGCTGCATGATTTATAATCCTTTGGGTATATACCCAGTAATGGGATGGCTGGGTCAAATGGTATTTCTAGTTCTAGATCCCTGAGGAATCGCCACACTGACTTCCACAAGGGTTGAACTAGTTTACAGTCCCACCAACAGTGTAAAAGTGTTCCTATTTCTCCACATCCTCTCCAGCACCTGTTGTTTCCTGACTTTTTAATGATCGCCATTCTAACTGGTGTGAGATGGTATCTCATTGTGGTTTTGATTTGCATTTCTCTGACGGCCAGTGATGATGAGCATTTTTTCATGTGTTTTTTGGCTGCATAAATGTCTTCTTTTGAGAAGTGTCTGTTCATATCCTTTGCCCACTTTTGGATGGGGTTGTTTGTTTTTTTCTTGTAAATTTGTTTGAGTTCATTGTAGATTCTGGATATTAGCCCTTTGTCAGATGTGTAGGTTGTGAAAATTTTCCCCCATTTTGTAGGTTGCCTGTTCACTCTGATGGTAGTTTCTTTTGCTGTGCAGAAGCTTTTTAGTTTAATTAGATCCCATTTGTCAATTTTAGCTTGTAAGAACTGTTTGAGAACACGGTTGATCCAGAATAATGCTTCAGAGCCAAAGGACGTCATGCCTGATGAATCAATTTTCAACCTCTGGTTGAATTGGAAAGTTCTAGGTTATTGGAAGAGAGGAAGATGAGAAAGAGGAGAAAAAGTTTTTAAAAGATGGAAGTTGTGGAAAAAAGGGAGAAAAAGAGAGACAATCCAATTATAGAAAAGTAAAAATGATACAAGAGTAGAGAAGTATTGAATGCTATTGGCATTTCTCCTTCTCTTTGTTAAGAAAATTCTATTGTAGGATAAAACAAAATCTGGCCTTTTCATTAAAAAATGAAATAAAAGAGCTGGTTCCTACAAAAGAGAAACAGATCTTGAATTGGAGTGAAAAAGATGGGAATAATCAAAGGCATTCCAGAAATTATCTGTAAAACTTTAATATTTCTAATACTTCCAAGTGAACCAAAAAGTACTGTTTTGTTTTGTTAACCTCTGTGCAAGAAAGAGGAACCATTCTTGTTTCATTCTTTTATCTCAAGCCTTAGTGGTTTTAAAAGTGTGATTCTTAAAGAAATAAAGAGACACATTAAAAAGGTGATACATTAAAAGAATAAAGAATAGAGTATCTGCAAGAGTTAAAGTGAAGTTAAGCATGTCAAATGCAGGAAACGAAAAGGTCTAGGAGACTAGAATTAAGGAGTAAAAACACAGAGTACTATGTTAGGGAGTAGATTTGGTTAGTTTATTGAGTATTAAAGTCATATTAAAGAGGCTAGGTTTGATAGGAGCAAGTCAATGGAGAATCACTGTAACTTTCTAGAAGAAAGAAATGATCAGAAAAAAAAAACTGATGAAAAAATTTTTGAAGTATGATTGGATGAAAGAGAAAGACATGAGTTCAACATGAACAAATTCCAAAGTATTAAGTTCTACATAAAACGTGACATCAGGGTCTATTGATTGAATAACTTTTAAGTAAATGTGGGAGTTCATGCAATAATTTCTTGATTCCTGAAACAAATATTTATTGCAGACCTAAATAACGTCGTGTTGTTATGTTGAGAATATATGGATGAAAAGGTAAGGTCCCTGCCCTCAGTGTAGTATCAGACATATAAATAAATTATTGTTAAACAATGTGATGTATAAAATAACAAAGGTTATGTACTTGAAATGAAAAGTGCTTCAATATTCCTGGAGTATAAAGTGTGAGGGTGGATTATTGAACCAGAGGCAGGGAAATAATACTATTAATTTGCATTTCAAATGTTTTAAACAATCAGCTATACAGTAGTATGTGTACTGATATGTCCAAAAGCATATTCTACATATGTTTATAGTCAATCATTTATAAAGTATTTTTATTTACTGGTTTCTTTCCTCCTTTTCCAGTGTACATTATTTTTAGGAAAGTGCCTTTCATCTTTGAACATGGAGATTAGGTTTACTATATTTAAAATAATGTTTTAATTGTATGGTTCATATAAAAGATGGGATGGTAGACATTTTGAAGACTAGGAAGATTGATTAAAATTGTGATCTTATTAAATGTGATAATTTTATTATTTGAGTTTATGTACAAATTTGAAACATAATAAAACCAGGCATAAATCAATTAAGAAGTGTTTGAATTAATAACAAAATAAAAATTACATACCTGAATATAATTAGAACAGTCTCCAGAGCAACTGCCATTTTCAAAATTGTACATTTTCTTCTCTGCATGCCAACTTCTGATAGCAATACTTGCAGTAAATTCATTTTCAGGGCCGACCCACATATTTTCACCAATACCATAAAATTTAGGATGGACCATTTGTACATCTTGTAAATAAATATTATGCGTAAACAAACATTTTTTTCCCCATGCTCTAGCAGTCCGTGATAAAGCTACATCCCAAGTCTGAAAAATATTCAAAAAGCAAAGAGAACAAAATAAGTTTTTTTTTGTAGTCTAAAATATTTTTTCTTGAGTTATCATTAGATTTAAAGGAAACAATTCTAACTTTGTACTTGTGCATCTTGGTTGAGAAATTTCTGCTGGGAAAAACTTCCATGGGATAATAAAAAATGAAATGACCATTTCCTGAGACAAAGGACTATGTATATATTTGTAATTAAAATATTAGAATGCTAGATGATGGAAATGATAATACTCTTACATGTAGTCTGTTCAGAAGTATGTAATACACTTACCTATAGTCTGCTCAGAGTATATATTTTTAAACTCATGCCTTTTTGTACACAGAAATACAACAATCTAAAATATTAAGAGGTATTTATTAAGTAATGATTATATGCAAAATATCATATTGTCAAGAATAAAATGCTAAGTCAGCATAAATTTTGTCCTCACATTGCTTTATTAGAATTATGTATATTTTTATATATCTGATTAGATATACATCTTATATATATTGGATTAGATATAAATCTTATATATATTGGATTAGATAAACATCATATATATCGGATTAGATATACATCTTATATATATATCGGATTAGATATACATCTTATATATATCAGATTAGATATACATCTTATATATATCAGATTAGATATACATCTTATATATATCGGATTAGATATACATCTTATATATATCGGATTAGATATACATCTTATATATATATCGGATTAGATATATACCTTATATATATATCAGATTACATATATATTATATATATAAGATCCTATATATATATATAAGATTAGAGAATAAGAGAAGACAGAGAATATATATATGTGTGTGTGTATATATATATATACACACACACCCAAAAAAAATCTTTTAACACATGGTAGTAGTTGGTGAGTGTTAACAAATAAGGCACATATAAAGTTTGTTGCAGAAATATGAGAAAATAGCATAAGATGCTGTTCCCTGGCTAGCTATCTGGAAATAACCAGAAATGTGTGCTTTTATCATCATTTAGAGACTCATTAAATTAACTGTTAGTGAAGGACAAGAACAAAAACCACACACTAGAAAAATCAACAAAATAGTGGTGAAACCAAAAATACTAAATACATATGTTACAGTGTATCAGAAAGTAAACATCTGAAAATCAATACTCATACTTCCTTAGAGCAGGAGTGTCCAACATTTTGGCTTCCCTGGTCCACATTGGAAGAAGAATTGTCTTAGGCCACACATAAAATACACTAACACTAAGAATAGCTGATGACCTAGTAAAAAAAAAATCGCAGAAGAATTCATAACCTTTTAAGAAAGTTTACAAATGTGTGTTGGGCTGCATTCAAAGTTGTCCTGGGCCTCATGCAGCCTGAAGGCCACAGATTGAACAAGCTTGCCTTAGAGTTTTCTTAGTGAATCCCATAGATTACACATATATACAACATAGAAAATAAACATATCAGACCTTTAGAATATCTCCCTACTACTTCCCTTCCCCTAAGGTAACCACTATTAAAAAAATTGCCTGTTTATACATCTCTCTATCTCTGTATCTACAAACATATACACACATTTAACTATAAGTTTGGCTGTTTTAAATGGGTATTTTGTGATTTTTTTCCCTTGCACTATTGTGATCATATCATATATAATATTATTGGCCTTTAACTTTCAGTTTGCATGTAGAGAAAGAGTTCCATATTAACATAACTAGATTTGCTTAATTTTTACATGGTCTGCATAGTATTCCGCAGCACGGATACCTATAATAAATGTAACCATTTCACCATTAATAGACCTTTAGATTGTTTCCTATTTGCAAACAATGTCCCATGGACTACACTTCAACCTGATTTATTATGCATATACTTCACATACCTCATTCTTACTACATAGCAGTCACTATTTTAAGTGTATTTTATGTATTATCTCACTGAATGTTCCAATAACCCTAGGAGGTATGCATTATTATTATTATTATTTCTGTTTTCCCAGAGGAAGTAACTAAAACACAAAGAGGTTAAGTAGTTTAAATGTATTAAATGTCTCATAGACAGTAAAATTGTGGAGCCTGGATTTAAACCCATGAAATCTAATTCCCAACTCTAAGTTTATAAGCATTTTACTTCTCATGACTATGTGCAAATAAATTGTAAGAGCTCCAAATTCTTTTATTCAACTATGAATAAAAATCATAATTGAAAAGAGAGGTTAAAGTTTCAAGAAGCAGTTAATGAGATATTTAATGAAATATGTCAAGACAAGGTTGATAAATGTGCTTTGAGAAGGCAAAAAATTTTTGTTAGCCATTACTCTTTGTTTAGCTAGAAAAGCTGAATCCATACTCTAATTTGTACTCTCTTATAGGTAACAGGAAGATTTTAAGATTTTATTTCAATATATTTCCCTGGAATATGTCTAGGTATGGGCCTTTTCTCATTAATTGGGCTTAGCATTTGGTGGACTCCATTAAAAAATAATTTTAAAAGGAAGGTATAATCATAAACTCTCATACATGTGTCAATGATTTTAAGTGATTAATTAATGAGGGAACTACTAAGATATTATAGCTTGTTCAAGAAAAATCCAAAGAATTCTCAAGGTTACATGCTGTCAAGAAGTGCTGAAATCCATTCACAAATAAATGCAAAAACTAGGTCTTATCCACAGGGAAATAGTCAATTACATTTCATCAGACACAATGAATTTGCATTTCTATGAGCAAAATTAGTTACATTACAATTACTTTTCTACAATTTAAAAATTGTAAATTGCCTAGCTCAAAGACAATTATAGAAAAGATAATTTCTATGTGTAAGATAAACAGTGCACAAAATATTGTATTTCACAATTTTCCCTGACATTTATCTTAATCTAAAAACTTATGTCTCTCCTCAGCTCTAGAAAATTTGCTTCTGTTATTTCTTAATTTTCTCCCCTTTATTTTGTTTTATAGTTCCACACCACTTGTAAGATTTAGGAACTTTGCATTTTATTCTCTCTGTCTTTTAATTTTCCCTTTGTGCTTTTACACATTCATTTATTTATTCATCCATTCAATACATGGGAATATCTCAATGAATAAGCTGAAGGATATAAAGTTGCAGATGAAAAATTTCATTATTGAAGAAAAAAATATTCATGACACTTGTTAACACAGTAATGAAGGCTTTAGAAGACTTGCAACAGGGGAGACATTTGAGGCTCAACTCCAAACACAGCAAGGATAAGTGGGGATTTATAGCCATGGAGTAGGATGAGGGGGTCAATGAATAAAAAATTATTATGAGGAGACATCAAGTTTGAGGGGGTTCTTGCTACATTGATCTAACAGGATTCTTGCTGAAGACAGGCCAGTGTAGTCAGGTCAGGCCAGGTAGAGCTCAAGGGGAGGGGATGAAGATTTTGATCAGATGATATTCAGAGTAATCAGATATTGAGTGTGGGAGACTCTCCTTAAACTGGGCTAGGTGGGACTTTTGTGAAAACTGGGTGATGCAGGCCATAGGACAGGGCCTAAATCCCAGGCCTAGCCAGAGAGGGCTCAGGAAAGTCTGACTAAAGTTTGGTTAAGTAGAGAGAGAGTCTTTGTCAGGCCCCTCTCGTATTTGCATCTCTCTCTCTCTTTCTCTCTCTCTCTCTTTTTTTTTTTTTTTTTGAGATAGGGACTTGCTCTGTTGCCCAGGCTAGAATGCAGTAGTGTGATTGTGGCTCAATGTAGCCTCAAACTCCCGGGCTCAACTGATCCTCCTTTGTTAGCCTCCCTAGTAGCTGGGATTACAGGTGTGCACCACCGCACCCAGCTAATTCTTTTATTTTTTGGTAGAGACAGGGTGTCACCATATTGCCAAAGCTGGTCACAAACTCCTGGGCTCAAGTGATCCTCCCACCTCAGCCTCCCAAAGTGTTGGGATTACAGGTATGAGCCACCATGCCCAACACCTCTCTTCTTATTTGACAATGCATTTCATGCAATTTAACCTATTAAATAAGTCTAATTAGTTTTAACTTTTTTAAAAAAACAAAGTAAAGGAAAAAATTCTTTGAGATAGTCTATGGTTCTGGGAAATTTCAAGTTCAGTTCAAAATTAAGGTTTCATTTAGAATTTGATCTTGGAAAAGCAATGTCATAAAAAATTTCGAAAGTTTTGAACAGTTGACTAAATAAGATCTTAGACAGCTATGAAACAATACTTAAGCAATCTATTTAACCAATATGACAAAAGATTTCAAAAGTAACTATGGGGGTAACATAATTTTTTTTTAAAAAAAGACCTTAGCTCTTTTAAAAGTGAGAATACTTGGTTTTCTTAAATAATCAGGAAAATAATAAAGTTGATATAAAGCACAGGAAATTATTTTAAGATACACAATCTTTTTATTCTAAGTCGATTACTTTAAAAGCAAAAAAAAAAAAAACTTTTGACAATTTCTTATTAAGAGCAGACCAGTAACCTAAGTAAATGTTGTCATTTTTACAGAGAAAAAATCAAATTCTAGTTTTGCATCAGTGTACTTTTAATTTTAAATGTCATTTAAGGTTTTCTAAAAAACCATTATAAATAAAACCATTTGGTCTTAGCCAGCTTTGACCATGCAACATAAATTTTTCTTTTCACAAGACTTTTCAAACTTTCTATATCCATATTTCTATATTTGTTGAAGGCCGAAAGAGTGAGGGACATGATCAACTCATATAACCACTAGAGGCTATATGAGTAAACTGCAAACTGTTCTCATGAAAGTGGGTTGCTGGCAAACTGGCAAACTGACAAACTGCGTCTGCTGCCCAGAAAGAATGCTGAGGGCAGTCATGACCCAGGCATAAGTGTTTTTTGTGATTAGGTACATCTGAAGCCTATTAGTAATAATTTGAACCTGTGATCAATTACTCAGCTGACCAATTGTTACCTCTTCCTCCCTGCTCATTCTACCCAATAAATACAAAGGGCTGTGGAAGCTCAGGGTGGCTGCCCTTGCTCACTAGAGGCAGGGAGCCCTCTTCTTCTTCCCCATGTTACCCTTCCTTCAAAACAGTTTCTTTTAAGTTTTCACTTCTGCGTTTGTCCTCTGTTCAGTCTTGTAATGACGGTCTCAAGCAGTAACAGTAGTAACTGTTGTAGTGATGGTCTCAAGCAGTAATCGTGGCAGTCTGCCACATATATTGTCCTAAATTTTCTTCTTTCTCATCTTGACCAGTCATTTTATTTTAAGACAAAATTACTTTCTCCTTCTCTTGACAAAAACATATCCTACATTCCTTGTAAACTTTTCATACAAAGTGTTTGTATACATTAGTGCCGTTGATTTCACAGAGAAAAACTAGGAAGTAAATTACTGTGAATTATTTGTCACATACCAGCATTCTATAGTAGACTAGCAAATTTTATGAATATACCATCTCACTAGCTTTTATAGGTATTTTCTGCTTCATAGTATTAAAAACTAAAAGTGTGTAAACTTAAACTTATGTTTAAAAATGTATGTTTTAGCAGTTTATCTTACTTAGAAATTATCAATGAATATCTATTAATTTAATCTAACATAACTTTAAGACTATAAGTTACTAAAAAGATTTTGGAAATTATTTTTAGTAAGACATAACACTAAACAAAGCTACCTAGCATCTCAAGTTATTTCCTTGTTAACTATTCTTATGGCACATGCATGTTAGGTAAATATAAAAGAATAACAACAGCAAAAAAACTAAAAAGGGTTAAATACACATTTGTTGTTTTATTGTTTCACTTGATACATATAAAGTAATAGATATCAAGAAATTCATTTTTACTACATCTTTATTTGTACATGTGTTCTTAGGCTGAATTTATAATTTTTATAATCTTAAATATCTAGTAGCTATCACAAGTTTATTTGACTTAGTAAACCCAAGTAGAATAAAAATATATGCTTGTATGATAATTAATTCTGATAATTCAGAAGACACAGCTGTGTTTTATTAAACCAACATTACTAAACCAGTCTTATTTGGCAAAGATTCACCCAAGTCAAGTGAATCTGAAAAGAATGTGGATTAGTTTGTATTTTTCTGAGAGTTTGAGGAATGTTTAATTTATATAAGACTTGTTGAGCTCTAAGGCAATTTTAGTAGACCTCCTTTAAGAGATTTTATAAATTAAATTTGTAATACGATCTCAAGGTAAGAAAATATCACATATACATAACACACATATGTATACACACACAGAGAGAGACATATATAGAGATCTTATAGTCCATTCTAAAATTTTAGCCACAAGTCAAGTGAAACACAATAATAGAAAACTCACTGATTTATATAAAATACTTGGAATTATGTTTTTAACAGAAGTAACAAGTTAAGGTGATCTACTCAATATGAGGGCTAATGCTTTTTACCATTATTTATGGAAAAGCCTTTAAGGCTTTCTTTGTCTTGATATGTAATCTCACAGACACTGTGAACTACTTTTTAGGTGAAAGACTGTGGGAAAATCAAATAGTTGTTTAGATATTTCCAAAGCCTATCTGGGTAGATCAAATATCTAGTCTCTTTCCAATTTGTTATTTTTCCTTTTTAGTCTCAGGTAGTTGCTTCTGAGGGTTCCTGAGTTTCTTGAAAGCCTCTAATGGGGGCAGGGGATCTAAAGTTCTAGTAACTGTAGAGGCTGGTGTGAACAGAAGGATGAAGGAGGTAGGGGGTTGAAGGTGGACATATCAAGGGAACTGAAGGGAAGATCAAAGGTGGTATAAGGAGGAAGGAGGAGCAAAGATGATGGGAAGGGAGGGGTCTTAGAGGAGCCAGTGTGCAGAGATTTGAAGTTTCCCAAAGAGGCCACTGATGTTCCAAATTATCCTTAGTTAAATTCACACCAACAAAAAAGGAAGCCGACATAGTTAGTGGAGTATAGAGTTACCAGGGGCTCAAAAACGGGACGGGGGTTAGTAAACTGAAAAGCTCCCAGGAGAGAAGCAGAATCAAATGGAGACCACAAGGAGACCTTATAAGAAGCCAAGACAAATGTCCAGCCTAGGACTCAGGAAGTGAATCTCCCCACAAAACAAAGAGCCAGGAAGAAAGACTTTCAGTCCAGGATTGATAAGTGAATCCCCATTTGAAAGAAAGAACAGGAAATAAATTTCAAGCCTAGAAGGGACCTTTCAGACAAAGAAATCTAAAACTGTAATCCAGCTTCAGAGAGTTTACAGAAGCTTAAAAATCAAAAAATCTATCCTCACCATCCTTCAACAGACTGTCATCTGGAGCACTGGCTCAGGAGTCAGACTCACCAATGGATCCCCAATCAATCATTCAGGAGTGAAGACAAAGTCTTCAAAGGGGTGCACTTGGAGTCCTGGGTGAGAGGTTTGGAAATCCAATGATGAATCTGCTACCATCGGAGTCACAGCAGTACCATAACTGTTAAAGGAAAAATTGTTCATGACACTTGTTAACAAAGTGGAGGACTTTATTTAGGGCTATTGTGGTAGGTGGCAAGACTATCATGTTAGAGGAGAGAGAATGGGCTCAATTCCAAATACAGCAAGGATAAGTGGGGATTTATACCCATGGAACAGAGTGAGGAAGTCAGTGCATGGAGAATTACTAAAAGGAGACATCAAGGGTAGGGGGATTCTTGCTAAACTGACTACAAAGATTCTTGCTGAAGGCAGGCCAGAGTGATTAGACATCAAGGGCAACAGATGCTGTCTAAACTGGGCTAGGTGTGATTTGCAATAACACTGGGCAATGTAGGCTTTAGGACAGGGCCCAAGGTCAAGGTCTATTCAAGAAGGCTCAGAGTCTTCGTCAAAATATACATAACACTGATTTTGGAAACTGAACAAATTTAAGTAATGAGTTGTACACAATGTGACTGAGGAAGAGTAAAGGAAAACATTATTAAGAGACTAGAGAATATTATTATTCTATTTACTGTCCAATGTATATTGATAAATAAAACAGGCCTACATTTTTTTCCCTTTTTCTCCTTGTTATGTTTATCACATTTGGAGATTTGTTATTCTAGATTTCTAAAATGAATTGAATCTTCCATTTTTTAAACACACAGAAACACTTTAATATCATTGGAAATTATCTGTTCTTTGAAGATTATTCAGAATTATCTTTATTGTTACCTAAGATGGAGGCCTATTTAAAGAACAGATCTTCAACATCTTGCTGCTGTCTTCTAAAGCATTGCTGTTACGGTTTTCTCTTTCTGTATTTACTTTGCAACTTACATTTTGCTAGAAAAACACTTGATTTCATCTAGATACCTAATATTATTAACATGGTTGGACATAATAAATATTGTCTTACACTTCTTGCAATCTCATCTCCATCTGTGGTTATAAATCTTTTTCTCACTTCTAAAATAATTTGTTTTCTCTTTTTATTCCCTGAGGCTTATCACGAATGTGTCTATTTTTTTTCCAGTTCTTGCAAATAAGAATGCTGTTTTATTAGAAAAAATTATTTTTCATTAATTTTACTTATACAGCTATTCTCTCATTCTTTGTTTCTTTTCTTTGAATTTTTTAGTTCATTTATTGTCAGTCAGTTTCTGTAAAATGACATTTACAGCTAATTGCCTTTTCCTTTATTTATGTCATGTGTTTTGATATTGTGCCCATATTTTGGGGAAATTTTGTTTTTTGTTCTTGATCTGAAGATAATTTGAAGAATGTTGCTTAATTCCTTAGTTAAGATTCTATCAACCAACATTTTTTGTTCTTTCTAGTTTTATTACATTCTAGTCAGAAATTTAGCGTGTAAAATTTCTACTTAAGTTTTTCTTTATGAGCATAAAACAGATGTTTTTCATGGATATTAGAATCCCTTATTGACAGGATTATTTGTTCGTTGCTATATATAATTTACTTGTCAAATCTATTTTATAAGACTTTAAAAGAAGTATAGAAAACATCCCACAATTATCTTGTTTTAAAAAATATTTCTTCGTATTTTTAGGAAATTTCACTTGATATATTTTCTATTTTGGCCAGTGCGAAGGCCTTTATTTTATCTTCATGGATTATACCTTTTTTTTTCCAATACATAGTATTTCTTTTTATCTTTAGTCTTCATTTCTATATTATTTTATAATATTGTTTCTCTTTTTTAACTTGGAAGTTTCATAAATATTTTTATTCATATTTTTATTTTCAATCATTTCAGGTATATATTTTTGCAAATTATTGATAAAGAAATTAAATTCACTCATATTTATGATAACATATTTAGTTTATTTTAAAATATTATTTTATGTTTACAGTTTTTTAAAAGTCATTTCCTATTTTTCCCTCCTTATATTACAGGCTTGATGAAGTTTCTTTGTATTGCTCACTTCTCTTTTGTAAATCTGGAAGTTCAAGTAACTTTTCCCATCTGCTAGCCACCAACATCAAATCATTATGATAATCTTTATGATTATCTTAACTATCTTTAACTTCAATTACCATGTTTAAAATTACATATGATTAAATAACAAAAATACACACACATATATATATATAAAATTATGCTCACTTCCATTTTGATGTTTTGTTTGCCCATTTCATGCCATCGTACACAAAGATCAGACTTCAGGAATGCTAGCCCTAATACACTAAATACTGTATTTTACTGAGGATATTGTTTTAAATTGTTGCCGTTACATTTTTTTGCTGTATATATTTTTTGTTTCATGAATGCTTTATCACTTATAATCTCCAGTGAAATTATCAACACGCATTAAAGAATATTTTGTTTTAAAAATAATTTTTTTGAACAGATATCTAATACTTTATAAAAACAAAATCACATAAAATCATTGAGAAGTCATGTTGTCTTGCTCTCCACCATCCTATTTCCCCAGGACTTCTATAAGTAACTAATTAATTCCGTGGATCTGTCCACTATTTTCTATTCAAATATACATTATTTTAAATTTTCGTATACAAAACGTATCATAATGTACCTTGCTTTTCCAAGATCCATGAGATATTGTGTTGTTAGTATAAAGAACGTTCAGGCCGGGCACGGTGGCTCACGCCTGTAATCCCAGCACTTTGGGAGGCCAAGGCGGGAGGATCACGAGGTCAGGAGATTGAGACCATCCTATAACGTGGTGAAAACCTATATCTACTAAAAAAAATACAAAAAAAAATTAGCCGGGCGTGGTGGCAGGTGCCTGTAGTCCCAGCTACTCGGGAGGCTGAGGCAGGAGAATGGCATGAACCCAGGAGGCAGAGGTTGCAGTGAGCCGAGATGGCGCCACTGCACTCCGGTCTGGGCAACAGAGCGAGACTCTGTCTCAAAAAATAAAAATAAAAAAATAAAAAACGTTCTCATTCTTTTTTTTCCCCACAGGTGTATGGTATTCTTTTATGTGGGTGAACCACACTTACTTTAGTTAACCCTCAGTGCTGGAGATTAGAGTATCTTTCCAATAATTTGTTAATATTAAATGATGGTACAGTGAATAACCGTTTAGGGATACCATTTCCTTCTTGTATAGTATGTCCTTAGGATAGATACCAGAAATGGGACCAGAGAGCCAAAGAGTAAATACATCTGTAATGTAGTAGGTATTGCCAGATTCTTCTCTACAAGGACTATATCATTTTGCTTTCACACCAGTAGTACATGGAGTAGGCATGGTCTTTGACTTTGACACAAAATCCAGAAGCAATTTTAAAAAACTGATTAGTCAGCTACACAAAAATGTTAAAAAGTCTGAATAGCAAAAAATACATATGTAGATTTAAAAAACTGACAAACTGGGAACATAATTACAACTCATACCAAAGACGAAGGGCTCATTTCCCAAATAAATAATGGGAGAAAAAAAGGCAAAAAAACTAATAGAAAAATAATCATTAAAGGATACTAACAGATCCTTATTCACATGAAAGGATACACAGCTTTGCTTATAATAAGAGAAATAAAAATCACAGATCATATTTTACCTATCAGGCTAGTAAAACTCCAAAGTTCAACAATAGTTTTGTTGTCTTGTCTGTGGGGAATTGTTGACTAGTTGGAATTTATATTGATGTATGGATGAAGCAATATTACCTTTTTCAAATGACTACCCAGATTGATCAACACCAATTTATTAAAAAGTCTATCTATAGCTCACAGATTTGAGATGCTACTTTTATCATATGCTAAACACTCATATATTTGGGTTATTTCTGAACTCTATATCTTTCAATGGTATATCTTTTAACATACTAATACTGTATTATTTTACTTAGTGAGGCTTTATTATATGCTATAAAATCTAATATGTTCAATAACCCTCATTTTTCAAAATATCCTGGCTATGCTTATTTATTTTTAAAACAACCTGAATGTCCATCAATAAAGGAATAGGTAAAAAAGGTAGTACATTTAAGGGATAAATAGCATAGCAAATAAAACTGAATTAACTAGATTTATATCAACAAATAAATCTCAAATGTATAGTTTTGAATGAAAAACCAAGTAACATGATAAATTCCACATAATGCCACTTATAGAAATATAAGACGGAAACCTCCAAACATTGTGTTTTTGGTCTAGATAATCACATATATATTCAAAACCTTAAAAAATGTATTAGAATGATTCATATCAAACTCATAAAGGTTATTTTCTCTGGGGATGGAGAAAGGGAACATAACTGAAGTGGCTGTTAGAAAATGTTAACATTGACTGCACTGTTCTTTCTTTTTTTAAAAAAGGAGGAAGATTTATTTGTAATATTAAATTAAAAATTGATATTACATATAAAACTACAGCCCATTATCTGGTACATGAGAGGAGTCTAAGTCTTGAGCCTTCTCCTAGTACTACCATGTCAGGTTAGAATTAGGAATCACTCAGCCCCAGAACAGCTCAGAAAAAGAAGGGAGGGATTCTGTGCTCCTAGCATCCAAGAATGTAAGAAAGTTGAAGCAACAAAGAGGACGAAGCTAAGACACAATCTTCTAATATTACAAACCCATAAAAATGGGAATAAAATGTTTAGTTTAAATCCTATGAAATTGCTTGCGTTTTCTAGGTCAAAAATGGTTGAAGAGCAATTCATATAATTCAATCTTTATATGATAAAAGTTTTTTTTTTTTTTTTTTTTTTTGAGATGGAGTCTCATTCTATCGCCCAGGCTGGAGTACAGTGGTGCGATCTCAGCTCACTGCAACCTCTGCTTCCCGGGTTCAAGCGATTCTCCTGCCTCAGCCTTCGGAGTAGCTAGGATTACAGGCGCCTGCCACAACGCTCGGCAATTTTTGTATTGTTAGTAGGGACAGGGTTTCACCATGTTGGCCAGGCTGGTCAGAACTCCTAACCTCAAGTGATCTGCCCGCCTTGGCCTCCCGAAGTGTTGGGATTACAGGCGTGAGCCACCGCTCCCGGCATTTTTTTTTTTTTTTTTTTAAATCCACAGCTGAGCTCAAAGGAAGGAAAGGTAATACTCAGGTGCCAGAAATGAAGAGAAAAGTTAAAAGTCCGAGTGGTGAACTCATGTGCCTAATCGGAGGAGAGGAAATATCAGATTAGATATAAATGCCAACAATATAGGAAGAAGATGTAGCCATAGAACCATCTAAGACAAGTTCTGGGACTGAAATATTTGCGGAAAAATCAGGATGCCGACTTCTTCCTAAATGAAGCAGACCACCAAACCCTTCCTAGAAGTCTGAGGAAGTGACAGAAAGTCAGATGGAAAAAAGTCATGTCATGTGAGAAATCAGTTCTAGATCTATCCTATGCCTACAAGTGGACACTATACTTACATTGCCTATATATGCTGAGAATACCCAAACAAATTTTAAATATCAAAACTTAACACATTATAAATATAAAAAATATAAATGTAAAACTGACTGTAACAGGGGAGTAAGGCAAAAGCTAATAAAAATTAGTCTGTAGCAATATTTATTTTTCCACTATTTGGACAATATGGGACTCTTTCACACACACACAATCTCTGCTGAAAATAAGCATAGGATAGAAAATTATAAACATGACAGAGGCTCAGTAGCTAAAACAAGAGAACTGGCACCCAAAGAAACTAAAATAATAAAGCACTAAAAATATTTTATGAAAATATAAAATAATTATGTTTAAAATGATTAAATGAGTGTAAAAATAGAAATCATAAGAGAAAACAGGACACTGGGGGAATATGAGCAAATTAAAAAAAAAGTCTAGAAATTTTAAAAAATCAATTGGCCAGTTAAATATATCATAAAAATCTGAAGAGAAAACTAGTGAATGAACAGCAGTTCTAAAGCAATGACTCTGAAGGAAAACAGAAAAAGAGATGGACTGTAGGGAGAAAATGGAGAGCTGTGGAGAAAAGGAATGAAAAAGTCAAACATACATCTAATAGGAGTTCAAGACAGGGAGACTAGAGAGCATGGGGAAGAGGCAACATTCTATGAAATAATACTGAAGAATTTTAGTCTTAACAATGGACATGGATACAGAGATTAAAAAGAAAAGTCCTGAACAAAATAAATAAAAATAAATGCATGCTTAGTACTAGTATGGGGTAAAACTACAGAACAGCAAATATAAAATATTTAAAGTAGCTGGAGAGAAAATATAAATCATCTTTAAAATAACAACCAAAAGACTAGTGGATCTCAAACTTTAGCACACTTCAGAATCATCTGGAGGACTTTAATTAAAATACAGAGTACTGGGTTTCAAAACCAGGATTTCTGATTCAGTAAGTCTGGGATAGGTCCTGAGAACTTTAATTTCTAACAAGTTCACAGGTGATTCTGTTGTTGCTGGTATAGGAACCATACTGTGGGAACCTCTGAGTTCAGCTAACAAAAGAAACCTCAAAAGCAACAGTGGGAGACAGAAGATAGTGCTGAGAGAGAACAATATCATTCAAGAGTGTGAAGTAAAGATTATTTTACATATAGAAATATTAAGTTTACTATTCACACTCCCTTGCTGAATGAGCTATTAAAAGACGTATTTTAGGCACAAGGAAACTGATTCCAGAAAGTGGTAGTGCAATACAAGAAGTAATAGTTGCTAGCATAAATAATTATAATGGGCCAGGTGCGAGCCTGGGCAACATGGCAAAACTCTGCCTCTACAAAAAATACAAAAATCAGCTGGGCGTGGTGGTGAGTACCTGTAGTCCCAGTACTTAGGAGGTTGAGATGGGAGGATCACTTGAGCCCCAGGGTTAAAGGCTGCAGTGAGCTGAGATCACATCACTGCACTCCAGCCTGGGCAAGAGAGTGAGATCCTGTCTCAAAAAATAATTTAAAAAATGAAATAATAATGCTAAGCAACACACTCTTAAGCAATGAATCAAAAAAGAAATCACAAAAGAAAATACCTTGGGAAAAAATGAAAATGAAAACACAACTATTTAAACTTATGGAATTTAGCAAAAAACAGAGCTAAGAGGAAAATGTATGAGTGTAAGAGCTTACATTTTTTTTAAAAAGATGAAAGACTCCAAATCAACAACCTAACTGTACACCATAGGTAAAAAGAAAAGGAAAATTGAACAAAACCCAAAGTTACCAGAGGAAGGAAATAATAAAGATTGAAGCAGAGATAAATAAAATAGAGAACAGAAAAACAACAGAGAAAATCAACAGAACTATGAGCTGGTTCTTCAAAAAGATCAGCAAAAATGATAAACATTTAGCAAGACTGAGTAAGAAATAAAGACAGAAGACTTATTCCTGGGAACATACAACCTACCAAAAGGTAGTAACGAAGAAACAGAAAATCTAAACAGACCTATAACTAATAAGAAGATTTAATAAAAATAATAAAATAATAATTTCATAAAATAATAATAATAAAAATCAGTAATACAAATCTCCCAACAAAGAAAAGCCCAGAACCAGATGGAGTCATTGGTGAATTCTAATAGGAGTTCAAGACATATATTTAAAGAAGAATTAACATCAATTCTCAAACTCTTCCCCAAAAATGAAGACAGGAGAATATTTATTAACTCATTCTATGAAGCCAGCATCACCCTGATACCAAAGCCAGAAAAAGATACTATAAGAAAACTATAGGTCAGTATCTTTTAGGAATATTAATATAAAAATCTTCAACAAAAACCTGAATTTAACAGCACATTAAAAACAGCTGAATTTAACAACACATTAAAAGAATTATACATGATAACCCAGTGGAATTTACTCCTTGGTGCAGGAATGGTTCGATATATAAAAATTAATCAATGTGATAGAATACATTAACAAAATGAAGAAATGTAGCCACATAGTCATCTTATATGTAGACAACCCTAAAGATTCCACACACAAAAAAACTGTTAGAACCAATAAATAAATTCAGAAAATTAGAGAAAAGTAGCAGGTTACAAAATCAACACACAAAAATTAGTTGCTTTTCAATATGTTAATAATAAACAATCTGAAAGGGAATTAGGTAAACCATTCCACCACAATAGCATCAAAAAGAATAAAATATTTAGGAATAAACTTAGCCAAAGAGGGAAAAACATATATACTGAAAATAAAATATTACTGAAAGAAATTAAGGTGGATATTAGAAAGTGAAAAGACATACTGTGTTAAAGTATTGGAATACTTTATATTGTTAAGATGCCTGTTCTACCCAAAATGTTACAAATCAAGGAAACCCATATCAAAATCCCAATAATGTTTTTTTTTTTTTTTTTTTTTGCAGAAATACAAAAATACATCTCAAAATTCGTAAAAAATCTGAAAGGACCCTGTATGGCCAAAATAATCTTGAAGAAGATGAAAAAAGTTGAAGAATGCACACTTCCTAATTTCTACTTACCAGTATTCTACAGTAATCATTGTGGAACTATTAATAGCATACAGACATATTAGACTAACAGAATGGAATAGAGGGCCCCAAAATAAATGCCAGCATATATGGTCAAACGATTTTTAACAAGGGTGGAAAGACCATTTTATGGGGAAAATAACAATCTTTCCAGCAAATGAAGTTAGGAAAACTGGATATCCACATGCAAAAGAATAAGCTGGACCCTTACCTTACACAATATACAAAACTTAACTCAAAGACCTAAAACTATAAAACCTTTAAAAAGCACAGGGGAAAAGCTTCATGATATTGAATTTGGCAATGACTTCTTGGATACGACAAAAAATACATACAATAACAACAAAAAATGATAAATTATACTTCATTGACGTTAAAAACTTTTGTTTATCAAAGGATATTATCAATAGAGTGCAAAGGCAACTTACAAAACGGGAGAAAATACTTTCAAATCATATATCTGAAAAAGATTAATATCCAGAATCTATAAAAATTCCTATAATTCAACAACAAAAAATCTAACAAGTTGGCCAAAAAATGTGCAAACGACTTGAATAGATAGTTCTTCAAAGAAGAGAAAATCTTGGTCAAGAAGCAAATAAAAAGATGCTCAATATCAGTAATCATTAGGGAAATGCAGATAAAAAATACAGTGAGGTATCACTTCATAACTGCTAGATGGTTATCATTAAGAAAAAAAGAGGAATAAGGAAAATAAAACAGAAAATAACAAGTGTTATCAAGGATGTGGAGAAATTGAACCCTTGAACATTCTTGGTGGGAATGTAAAATGGTGCAGCCACTATGGAAAACAGAATGGGGGTTCTTTGAAAAATTAAACAGAATTATCATATGATACAGCAATTCCAGTTCTGGGTATATACCCAAAAACAGCAAAATCAGGAACTGGAGCAGATAAATGTACACCCATGTCTATAGCAGTATTATTCACAACAGCCAAATAATGGAAGCAATCTAAATATCCACTGACCAATGAATGGATAAACAAAATGTGGTATATGCATACAGTAGAATATTATTCAGCTGTAAAAAGACAGGTAATTCTGACACATGCTACAACATGGGTGAACTTTATAGACATTATACCAAATGAAATAAGCTAGTAACAAAGACAAATATTATATGATTCCACTTATATTTGGTACCTTAAGAAGTCAAATTAATAGGAATAGAAAGTAGAATGGTGATAGAGGCCTGGGAGGAGGGGAGATGGAGAGTAAAGTAATTATTTGATGGGTATGGAGTCTCAGTTCAGGAAGACGAAAAAATTTTGGAGATAGGTGGTGGTAATGGGTGCACAACAATGCAAATGTACTTAATGCCACTGAACTATACACTTAAAAATGGTTAAAATGGTAAATGTTATGTCCTGTATATTGTAATACAATTTTTTAAAAACAACAATTTTTTTGGTATTTAAAAGCAAGGTAGAACAAAAGTACTACACGGCAATAGCATGAATAAGGATGGAAAGTATTCAGAATTTGTGTTCTAAGATCTTATTAATATTTGGGTGGAGTTTACAGGTATTAACTTTTGGAATTTATAAAAAGTACATACATTAAAATACTAAAAATAACCAATAAAAGAGTTTAAATAAGCTGAGTGATGTCCAAATCTGCTAAAGAAACATTTTAAATAGGCCATACTATTATGATAGACTATACTATTTACAGTTAATATTTATGTCCTAATAAAATACATGGGAAAAATATACATTAACTTCAAGAAAGAAGAAAAAGGTAAAAATTTAGGGTGGGACTTTAACCTATATATCAAATACTATTCCTTTAAAAATGTCTATATTTAAAAATATCGATTGTGGGTATACAGGTATATTATTTTATATACCTTATGTTTGAAATACTATATAATTTTTAGAGATGAGATAGAAAACCTATGAAAAGTTGTATTAGAAAGTATTATGTGTTTATTAATTTTCAGGAGTAAGGATAATCTTCAAATTGGGAAGAAACAGAATTAGTCACAAAAAATGGGAAATTAGTTGAAACTCCCAAATATCCCCAAACTCTATAATTGAATTCAAAAGAAAAAGAATTGGCTTAGAAAAAAGTATCTTCAGCAGATAGAACCAAATGCTAGCATAGTTCTATAAGACAGCATATAATCTGACATGGAAATGCTGACAATATAAAAGGTAAAGGAAATGACGAAGAAAGAACTCAAGTATGTCCTATCAAAATAGTATTTTAAAATCAACATTAAAACAAATGACCATTTTTGTAATTTATTCATTTAGCAAGTAATTGAACATGTCCAAATCAGTGAGGATGTGGTGAAAACAGAACAGCTGGTATTTGCTAAATTTGGCACTACCCTTTAGCATAGCAATTGCTATGTGTTAAATTAATAAAAAATATCATACCCTTAATTTATTTATCCCATTTCTGAAATTTGTGCTAAGAACTAATGCTGAAGGAAGAAAAGACATGTCTAGGAAAGTAGTCCTTGCAATATAATTTATAAGTTTGAAGCTTCTAATTCCCTAAGAGGACAGTTATTTATTTGCCGGATTTTCAGTCATTTTAATGACAGTCAGGAAAACTCAATAGCAACCAGGGAATAGTTGAGTTGTTAAATGACTATAGGGTGTAAAAGAGGGGGAAAGCAAGAACCGCATTGTAAGGTAAGGCAAAATCAGGGTCAAGACTAGGGTGAGGAAACTGAGACACTTCCTTAGGAGCCAAATTTGGAATGGGCACAAAAAAAAAAAATCAAGATAACAAACATTTTTAAAAGGCAAAGCTAATGTGACATCGATGATGGAAAAAGCTAAAAATAAAAATTTCAAATACAAACAGAATCTCATCTTGATTTGCACCACCCTGAGAGTGTCGCACTTGTTTTTCCCTAATCCAGACCCAAGGAACCTGTCTTTGTTAAATTTTTTAACATTTTCTTTACCCTTGATATTGATATTTTTGCACTGATTTTTAATTTTTAAAAACCCGTTGCATTAAAATATCATTTTCTTGAATTGGCGCCCCCTTAAAATCTGCACTTCAGGCCAGTGCCTCCATCACCTTAGTCCTGGCCCTGTGTAATATCATGGTAATAAGCATGTGTTAGAGTGTCCGCAGTTTTTCTCTGTGTAAACTTCACGTGTACTTTAAAAACCAAGCTAAAAGTGCGGTTCTCCGCGATCCTTCAGCCTCAGAGCAGTGGCCCCAACTACCCGAGATCCAGGGAGGCGTTGTGGCAACGGTAGTGGAAGGGTCGGCAAACCGCCTTCCGGCCTCACCATGAAGCGCAAGTTAGACCCTCGGGGAATGACGTCGCCCCGCAGCTCATTGTGGAGGTTCACGTACTCGTTGATAAAGTCTACGTCCTCCTCGTCTGGCAAAAATCTGGCGTTCAAACTAGAACCCAGTAGCAGTAGCCACAGCTCACAGAGCCGCAGCTTCAAAACGCCCCCTACTGCCAGGGGTAGGGACTGGGCCCTCCACTCCCGGGCGAAGGGCCTTGCGGCCTCCATGGTCCACCGGCCGCTGACAGGCCAGTGCGCACGCGCTGGCCGTCCCAGTGACCTGCCAATCTACGGAGGACGCAAGCAAGCCTTGTCCCGCCTCCCGGAAGGAGAAAGGGAGGAGGGAGGAGGGAAAAACAAAGGAGGGAGGAGGGGGTAAGGAGGAGGGAGGAGAGAAGAGGGAGGGGAGAGTGGGTAGGGGAGGGGGAGAGGAGGGGAAAGCTAGACCTGCAGAGTGAAGAAAGCTGGTAATAGATGTCTGACAAACTAAAGAAAGACTTGTGTTACGTGAGTAAGCCCTTTTCACTAAACTAATGTAGTGAAATGTTATCCCGAATTGATTTCTGACACTGAATGATATGTCGTTATTAATGAGTCATCAGTTTGTATGGTAAATGCCAATTGCTGAGTAACAGGTCTGAGGAACCTTCTAATTGTGCCAGGTGAAATGATTTTTCTGCGATACAGATACAAATTCAATTAAATTTTTTTTCCCCATTACCTGTTGAGTTGGAAATTTGGTGCAGGGCCTGCCTTTTATTTTCCTCAGGGACAGAATGGAATACAGAAATATTGCTAGTTCTTAAGGCCAAAGAAGTTCTTAAGGCCAACTTAATTGATGAGATTTTTTTCAGTTTTTAAATGAACCTTTGTGGGAAACCACAAAATAAATGGGAGTGAAGGGAGAGTAGGGATCACCAAACTCTTCAAAGGTTAAAACATTTCTACTTCTTCTCTCATCAGCACAATTCAGACAGCCCGGAATATCAAGATTCATCTTTTTCACTAATTGTGGCATTCACAGTAAGAACGAACTCTTTTGTTTTCTTTTTTTGTTCCAGACAAAATTGGCTAATATCTAGCTGATTTTGGTCTGATCTGTTTACCTCCAAACATTTTCCTCAAAAACAAAACAAAACAAAACCAACTTGCTTTGAAGACTTTAAATTCTAAGCATGGAAAAAAAGCAAGTATTAGTTTTGGAATACACGTTTGCATATTACATATTGTGCTTAATAGCATTAAGCAGATATGGAAAATTGACATTGGGAGAGAATTTTACTACAAAACATTGTAACAGGTTAGCCAAACATTTATAAAAAGAAAAGTGCTTTTAAAAATTGTCTGTGATGCACACAATTGAAAAACAATAGACCTATGTAAGATGGTTTCATTTATGCCCTTGAATACTTACTACTATGACTGCATAGTAGTAAGTTTTAAGTGATTGAGAAAGATCAGTAGACAAGACACAGATCCAGCTTTCAAGCAGCTTACAATTTAGTGAATTAGCAATCAGGCAGTATTTAAAACGTGATAAATACAAAGCCAAAATTCTATTGCTTGGTACTCTTGTGGAGGAGCAGGGAAGCCTTTCTGGAAATTGTATACAGAAAGTGAAACAGACAAGTCTAAGATAGCATTCTAAACAAAGGGAAAAGCATGTAATGTGCCTAAGGAGAGGAAGATCCTAAACGCTAGAAGTATTTTAGTATGGCTAGAACCTATTTAAGGGTGAAGGTGGCAAGTGCTGAAAGATGCAATTCTTTTATTATGGTGGTACTGTTGTTAGACTGCAAAAAATGCTAAAGAAAAAGTATAAATAGAATAATGCAATCTTAGATTTGGAAGAAATTTTAGCCACTATTGCTAGCCTCCTGTGTTAGGTATACTCTCCGGAACATCACTGACAGGTGATCATCACATCCTTTTCTTAAATAATTAGACCAACAGGGAAGCCCATTCCACTGCTAGACATCTCATTCAATAAATATTTCCTTGGTACTTCCTGTGTGTCACAGCCCAGCTAAAGGCTCAAATGCTGAACAAGCTAGACATGGAGTCTATCCACAGGGAGCTTTTAATTAAAGGTGACACAGATGAATCATCAAACAGTTACAATACAGAGTGGTGAATACTATTTTTAATCTATTTCACAAATATTTAATGTGTCAGGCACTATTTAAAATGCTTGGACAATATCAACTCACTCAAGTCACACAAATCTTAAGAAATAGTTATTATCCCTTTAACAGATGGAAAAACAACTGAGAAAAAGAGAAATCAAATTGCCTGAGGCCACCCAGCCAGGGAGTGGTAGAGCTACTTCTGTGTTTTTTTTGTTTTGTTTTGTTTTTTTTACCAATTCCTTTTCTAAAAATAGACTCTTTTTTAATAGCAGTTTTAGGTTCACAACAAAACTGAGAGGAAGGTACAGAGATTTCTCATGTAACTCCTGTCCCCACACATACATAAACTCCCTCATTATCAACATCCCACAACAGAGTAGTACATTTACAACTGATGAACCTACATTTATCCATTATTCCCACCCAGAGTTCATAGTGTATATTAGGGCTCATTCTTGGTGTTGCACATTTCATGGGTTGGTATAAATGTATAATGACATGTTTCCAGCATTTAGTACCATATAGAGTCGTTTTGCTGCCTAAAAATCCCTGGTGCTCAGACTATTCATCTCTCCCTGCCTCCTAACCCCGGCAACTACTAATTTTTTTTTACTGTCTTCATAGTTTTGCTTTTTCCAGAATGTCATATAGTTGGAGTCATACAGTATGTAGTCTTTTCAGATTGGCTTCTTTCACTTAGTAATATGTGTGTAAATTTCTTCCATGTCTTTTCGTGGCTTGATACCTAATTTCTTTTTAGCACTGAATAATTTTTCATTTTCTGGATGTACCAACATTTCTTTATTCCAGTAGCTACTGAAGGACATGTTGGCTGATTCTAGGTATTGGTGTATTATTCTATTCTCATGCCACTAATAAAGACAGACCCAAGACTGGGTAATTTATAAAGGAAAGAGGTTTGATGAACTCACAGTTCCACATGGCTGGGAGCCCTCGCAATCATAGTGGAAGACGAAGGAGGAGCAAAGGGACATCTTACATGGTGGCAGCCAAGAGACCATGTGCAGGGGAACTACTCTTTATAAAACCATCAGATCTCATGAGACATAATCATTACCATGAGAACAGCACGGGAAAAACCTGCCCCCATGATTCAGTTACCTCTCACCTAGTCTCTCCCATGACACGTGGGGATTATTACAATTCAGGGTAAGATTTGGGTGGGGACACAGAGCCAAACCATATCAATTTGCAAATGTGAATACAGTTGTTATAAACATCTTTGTGCAGGTTTCTGTGTAGACATAAGTTTTCAACTCCTTTGGATAAATACCATGAGCATGATTGCTGGATCATAACTATATGTTATAGTAAATGCTATTGTTTGGATATTTGTCCCTTTCAAAATTCATGTTGAAACTTAATCCCCAATGTAACAGTATTGAAAGGTGGAGCCTTTAAGAAGTGATTGGGTCTGTCCTCATGAATGTATTGATCCATTCGTAGATTAATGGGTTAATGGATTAGTTTAGCCCCTTTACCATGTGATACTCTGTGCTGCCTTGGGATTCTGCAGAGTCCCCAGTAGCAAGAAGGGCCACACCAGATATGGCCCCTTGACTTTGAAATTCTCAGCCTCCATAATTCTAAGAAGTCAATTCCTTTTCTTTATAACTTACTCAGTTTCAGGTATTTTCTTATGAGCAACATTAAACAGACTATGGCAGTAAGCATAATGTTCAGTTTTTTAAGAAACTGCTAAACTATGTTCCAAAGTGGCTGTGCCATTTTGCATTCCCACCAGCAGTGAATGAGAGCTCATGTTCCTCCACATCCTTGTCAGCATTTGGTGTTGCCAGTGTTCTGGATTTTGGCCATTCTAAAAGGTGTGTAGTGGTATTTCATTGGTATTTTAATGTGCGTTTTCCTGGTGACATATGATGCACCTTTTCATATGCTTATTTGAGTACTGTATGTCTTCTTTGGTGAGGTGTCCATTAAGGTTTTTGACCCATTTTTAAATTAAACTGTTTGTTTTTCGATTGTTGAGTTTAAAGAGTCTTTGCATATTGTGCGTAATAGTTTTTATTGCATATATCTTCTGTAAGTATTTTTCTCCCAGGCCATGGCTTGTTTTTTCATTCTCTTGAGAATGTCTTTTGCTGAGTAGAAATTTTTAGTTTTAATGGCACCCAGCTTATCGATTTGTTCTTTCATAAATCATACCTTTTGTGTTGTATCTAAAAGGTTATTGCCAAATTAAAGATCATCTAGATTTTCTCTTATATAACCTTCTGGGAGTTTATACTTTTGTATTTACATTTAGGTCTGTGATCCATTTTGATTAATTTTTGTGAAGGGTATAAAGTTTGTGCTTAGACTGGTTTTTTTTTCTTGTATATGGACGTTCAGTTGTTCCAGAACCATTTGTTGAAAAGACTACATTTCTCCATTATATTGCCTTTGCTCCTTTGTCAAAGATCAGTTGACTTTATTTATGCTGTTCTATTTCTCAGCTCTCTATTCTGTTCCATGGATTTATTTCTACTTTCACCAATACTATACCTTTTAAATTATTGTATTTTTGCTATTGTTTGAATATGTCCCCCTAAATTCATATGCTGGAAAATTAATCCCCAATACAACAGCATTGAGGGGTGGGATCTTTAAGAGGTGATTGGGTCATGAGAGCCCTGTCCTCATGAATTGTATTAATGCCATTATCACAGGATTGGTAAAATATTGAGGGAGTGAGTTCCTGATAAAAGAGTGAGTTCAGCTCCCTTCTTTTGCACATGTGCATGCACTCTCTTCCTCTGTGAACTCCTGCCATCAGATGACACAGCCAGCAGGCCCTCACCAGATGCAAGCTCCTCAACCTTGGACTTTCTAGCCTCCAGAACTGTAAGAAATTGATCTTTTTTTAAAATAAATTACCAAATATCAGATATTCTGTGATAGCAGCACAAAACAGACTGAGACACGTACCCTTATAGTAAGTCTTAATGTCACGTAGTGTTAGTCCTGCAACCTTGTTCTTCTCATCCAATGTATTGGCTGTTCAGGGTTTTTTTGCCTCTTCATATAAACTTTAGAATAATTTTGTCAGTCTCCACAAATTAACTTGCTGAAATTTTGATTGGGGTTACATTAAATCAATAGATCAAATTGGGAATTACTGATATCCTAACAAATTCCTTGTTCATTCTATTATGAACAAGGAATATTTATGAACAAGGAAATAGAATGAACAAATTCCTTCTTCATTCTATTTATGAACAAGGAATATTTCTTCATTTATTCAGTTCTTTGATTTATTTTATCATACTTTTGTAGTGTTCCTCATACAGATCTTGTAAATATTTTGTTAGATTTATGACTAAGTATTTGTTTGTGTGTGCTAAACGCTATTATGTTTCCAATTTTAAATTCTACTTGTTCATGGCTAGTATATAGGAAAGCAATTTAAAGTAACTGACTTTTCTATATTAACCTCGTATCCTGCAACCTTGCTAAAATCATTGATTAGTTTCAGGAGTTTGTTGATTCTTTGGATTTTGTACATAAATAATTATGTCATCGGCAAACAAAGACATTTTTATTTCTTCTCAATCTATAAACCTTTTATTTTCTTGTCTTATTGTATTAGCAAGGATTTCCAGTATGAAGTTGAAGAGCAGTGATGAGAGGGGCATCTGTGCCTTGTTCCTGATCTTAGTGAGAAAGCTTCCTGTTTCTCATCATTAAGTATGCAGTTAGCTATAGCTTTTTTTTGTAAATATTGATATCTTTATCAATATCTCAGGGAAGTTTCCTACTATTCCTAGTTTATTGAGAATTTTTATTATGAGTTCATACTGGATTTTGTCCAGTGCTCTTCCTGCATCTATGGATATAATCATATGATTTTTCTTCTTTAGCCTATTGATGTGATTTATTACATTAGTTGATTTGCAAATTGAACCAGGCTTGTATACCTATGTCTTAGTTCATTTTCTGATGCTTATAACAGAATACTTGAAACTGGGTAATTTATAAAGAAAAATAATTTATTTCTTACAGTTATGGAGGCTGAGAACATAAGGTTGAGGGGCTGCGTTTGGTGAAATACCTTCTTGCTGTTGAGAACTCTCTGCAAAGTCCTGAAGCAGTGCAGGGCATCATATGGCAAGAAGGTTGGGCATGCTAGCTCTGGTCCCTCTTCCCCTTTTTACTAAGCCCTTTAGTCTCACTCCTGTGATAACCCATTAATCCATTAACTTATTATCCTATTAATCCATTAATCTATGAATGTATTGGTTCATTCATGAGGGCAGAGCCCTCATAACCCAATAATCTTTTTAAAGCCCCACCTTTCAATACTGCCTCAATGGAAATTAAATTTTAACATGAATTTGGAGGGGAAAATATTTAGACCAGAGCAATCTGGAATAAATTCCACTCCATCATGTAATATAATTATTTTTATACGTTGTTGAATTCAATTTGCTTAGTATCTTGTTGGGGAATTTTGCATCTATGTTCATGAGAGACGTTGGTCTGTAGTATTTTTTTTCTTGTAATGTTTTTGCAGGATTTTGGTATTAGGGTAATGCTGGCCTCATAGAATGAGTTAAGAAGTATTCTGTTTGCTTTTATCTTCTGAAAGACATTATACAGAATCGATCACTTTTTTCTTTAAATTTTTGGTAGAATTCACCAGTGAATTTATCTGGGCCTGGTGCTTTCTGTTTTGGAAGGTTATTAGTTATCAATTAAATTTCTTAAATAGGAATAGGCCTCTTCAGATTGTCTATTTCTTCTTGCATGAGTTGTGAGAGATGTGTCTTTCAAGGAAGTGGCCCGTTCATCTAGATTATTAAGTTTGTGGGTGTGGAGTTGTTCACAGTGTTGCTCAGTTATCCTTTTAATGTTTATCAGATCTGTAGTGATGTTCCTTCCTTCATCTCTGATATTGATAATTTATGTCTTTTCCCTTTTCCTGTTAGCTTGGCTAGAAGCTTATCAATCTTATTTATGCCTTAAAAAACCAGCTTTTGATTTTATTAATTTTCTCTATTAATTTTGTTTTCAATTTTATTGATTTCTGTTCAAATTTTTATTATTTCTTCTGCTTACTTTGGGTTTAATTTGCTCTTTTTTTTCTAGTTTCTAACAGTGAAAGCATATGCGATTTTAGATCTTTCTTCTTTTCTAATATATTTATTCAATGCTACAAATTTACCTCTAAGCAATGCTTTGCTGCATCCCACAAATTTTGCCAAGTTGTTTTCATCTTCATTTATTTAAAAATATTTTCAAATTTCTTTTGAGATTTTTTCTTTGGACCATGTGTTATTTAGAAGTGTGCCATTTAATCTCTTATTTTGGAATTTTATGGTTATCATTCTGTTACTGATTTCTAGTTCAATTACTAGTGGTCTGAGAGCAGGCATTACATGATTTCTATTCTAAATTTGTTAAGGTGTGTTTTATGGTCCAGAATATAGTTTATTTTGGTAAATGTTTCATATGAGCTCGAGAATATATATTCTGCTATTGTCGAATAATGTATAGACGTCTTATTACATCCAGGTGATTGATGTTGTTGTTGAGTTTAACTATGTCCTTACTGATTTTCTGCCTGCTGAATCTATACATTTCAGATAGAGGTGTTTTGAAGTCTCCAACTATAATAGTAGATTCGTCTATTTCTTCTTGTCATTCTATCAGTTTTGTCTCATATATTTCTACACTCTCTTGTTAGGTGCATATACATTAAGGATTGTAATGTCTTCTTGGAGAATTAACCCCTTTATTATTATGTAATGCCTCTGTTTAATCCTGATAACTTTCCTTGTTTTGAAGTTGGCTGCAGCCAAAATTAATATAGCTATCTTGGTTTCTTTTGATTAGTGTTGTAAAGCTAGATTTTAAGCCCAGGTGACTAAGATAGGAGTATGGAAGGACACACAAAAGCATCTCATTTGGTTTCTGTAGAAAGAAGTGGGGTTTGCTGACAATGTTCTGCAAATATTCAATCTTTCGTATCTGTCAGTGAATCAGCTCCCATTATATACTTCATATAAAAAAATTTTAATGCATTATATTCTATGATATATATTTTCAAAAAATTTAAAGAGGCATGTAATACATGAGAATTATTTAATCATAGTTTCATGAAATACGTATTAAATCACAGGTTGTGTACATTTTCTAATAAGGTTTGAATGGTTGTAGATTTTTGAACTTTGAAATTTGGGGCAAAACAGTTTTAAGTTATTTTATATTGAAAGTGATGGAAATAATTTATCACATTCGGTTTCCTGAGGGCATTGGAATTGTTAGAGGGTATTGACAGAGTCATTTATTTCTTTACAAGGAATGTGGAAAATAAGGTTTCATTAAATTATTTAAATTCTGCTACTTATATACTTTTTGCATACCCATTTAATATTTCTGTTGTCATGTATAACAGATATAGCTTTAATTTTAAAAACAAGAGCAATTTTGGGATAAACTTTAAGCCTCTTGCTTATCTCAGATGATTTGTGAGTTTCCTTAAGTTCTCAGTTTCTGTACACTTGTACACTGCACTTGAAATTATTTTTTAAAATTCTTCTTCTTTTTTTTTTTGAGATGGAGTCTCACTCTGTCGCCCAGGCTGGAGTGCAGTGGCATGATCTTGGCTTACAGCAACCTCCGCTTCTTGGGTTCAAGTGATTCTCATGACTCAGCCTCCTGAGTAGCTGGGACTACAGGCATGCACCACCACACCCAGCTAATTTTTGTATTTTTAGTAGAGATGGGGTTTCACCATGTTGGCCAGGCTGGTCTTGAACTCCTGACCTCGGGTGATCTACCCACCTTGGCCTCCCAAAGTGCTGGAATTATAGGCGTGAGCCACCATGCCTGGTCTACACTTGAAATTTTAAGGAAATAATACTCTAATTCCATATGCTTTTTGATTTGGATAAAAGCTAGCAAATTTAAAAATGTATTTTTAATCTACATTTACTGAAAATGATCATGGGATAAGACTGAAGATACTAAAATGTATTATTTTGTTCTCTGTATAGATGTTATTAGAAACATTGTTTTTATTTTATTGACTCTTTCTCATTGTTTCTTTACATACTCGATTGATCTTTTCTATAATTCAAATTTAAGATTCAGATAA
The DNA here is from genome assembly GCF_000001405.40 of Homo sapiens. Taxonomy (NCBI): domain Eukaryota; kingdom Metazoa; phylum Chordata; class Mammalia; order Primates; family Hominidae; genus Homo; species Homo sapiens. The sequence goes on along the minus strand of NC_000012.12, from coordinate 75,382,095 downwards.
TTGTGCATGAGAAGCATTAAAGGAGAAAAGCAAAATGATCCACACATAAAAGCCAACTTTGAAAGGTAGAAAGATAGACTTTACTTCGTTAAAATGTAAAATAGGGCAACTGAGAAATTTGCTAGATAAATGTCCAAGGATTAAAATCCCAGATGCACAGGGAGCCATTCAAATTTCATAAGAGGCTGGGTGTGGTGGCTCATGCCTGTAATCCCAGCACTTTGGGCAGCCGAGGTGGGCAGATCACGAGGTCAGGAGATCGAGACCATCCTGACCAACATGGTGAAACCCTGTCTCTACTAAAAATACAAAAATTAGCTGGGCATGGTGACACATGCCTGTAGTCCCAGCTACTCGGGAGGCTGAGGCAGGAGAATCGCTTGAACCTGGGAGGCGGAGGTTGCAGCGGGCCGAGATTGTGCCACTGCACTCCAGCCTGGTGACAGAGCGAGACTCTGTCTCAAAAAAAAAAAAAAAAAAACACTTAAGAAAATGAATAACAGCAGCACCATTAGAAAAATAGAGGAAGAAAATGAACAGGTAATATACCAAAAAAAAAAAAAAAAGTCTAAATAACAGTGTAGTTGAAATATTCATCCTGCATCTACTCTTTTCACATATAGGTATGATGGAGTGTATATAACTAGATTCCAGGAGGAATTTGGACCTCTGGAACTAAAGTATCGTTTGTCGCTGTATTAGTTTGTTTTCATGCTGCTGATAAAGACATACCTGAGATTTGGCAATTTACAAAAGAAAGAGGTTTAATTGGACTTAGTACGGTTCCGCATGGCTAGGGAAGTTCTCACAATCATGGCAGAGGGCTAAAGCCACTTCTTACATGGCGGCGACAAGAGAGAATGAGGAAGAAGCAAAAGCAGAAACCCTTGATAAACCCATCAGATCTCATGAGACTTATTCACTGTCATGAGAATAGCACAGGAAAGACTGGCCCCTGTGATTCAGTTACCTCCCCCTGGGTCCCTCCTACAACATGTGGGAATTCTGGGAGATACAATTCAAGTTGAGATTTGGGTGGTGACACAGCCAGACCATATCAGTCTCTAAAAGACTGAGCCATAAAATTGAGTATAAATCCGAGACTATTTATATTAAAATTTGACTCCTGAATGTACATTACTTCTGTATTCATTAGGTCAATATGAAGTATGGTCATATGTTTGAAACAACTTCCTGTAATCTTTTCATCAAAGGTGAAAATAAGATTCCTAGCCTTTCTTAATAACTCTCAAACAATATATTGGTAAATTTGAATGTAGTTTATGAAAATATGTTTAGCTTTACTGGTAGTTCAAGGAATAAAAATTAATAGCATCTACCTCATTATTGAGGGAATTATATAAGTTATTAGATGTAAGGCACTTAGTGCTTGGCATAGTAATACCTACTGTTAGGTATTACTATTATTAAATTTAAATACTCTTATTTTCACTCATTGAATTCACAAGAACTAAAAATAATTATTAACACTTAGCATGGTGCCAGATATTATGCATGCTTAATAAATGTTTTTTTATATTAGTTTTCATGAGAGCATGCTTAATAAATATTTATTGAGTTATTCTTATAATAATCAATGTAGTTTCCCTAGCTGCAAGAAGCAAACCCAGTGAATATAACTACAGGTGAGTTGCTGGTAGTTTTAGTCTGGAGGACATTGGCAAGTGATATGTTGCTTTCCTGAGAGAAAATGGGAGTTCCACTCGAAGTGATGATAATGGAATTTATTTATTTCCCCTGGTACAGTTAGTGATCACAGGTAAATTTAATTACAGTTCAAATTACCTAGTTTTAACTAAGCAAACCATCTCAAAATGATCACATATCCTGCAAAAATTGCTAAGAGGAAATTGCCGATTCAATATAGTTGTCAAGATACAAATGCAAGCAAATAATATAAAACCGTCAGAAGTGTTTCTTTTTATATTCCTGGCATAAACATCTCTTTAACACTTATTTTTAAATTTATTTTACCTCATCCTTTTTAGGTTCAATTGTTATGTATTTTGTAATATATTACTTTATTATAAAAATATACATAATACATTTAGTTAAATGTACATATAGTACCTTTTGATTTAATCGAAGGGTTACCACTTCCACATTTGTTAGAGAATGTCCTAGTCTGGGCATGTTTTCTTATGTTCTAGGAAACCTCTCAGTCTCAGGCAAACTAGGATTTTTGGTCACTCTACAATTTTTTTTTTTTTTTTTTTTTTTTACTGATAGGGATGCATCATAATAATAATAAACTACAGAGAATACTGTTTAAACTATCTCTTCACCATTTCTCCCAAGAGGTAGAAAACTGGCCCAACTATTATTGGCAAATCTGATTTCTTTGTTTCATATTTTGAAGTGATTCAGCAATTTCTGGGAACACACACTTACTTGAGTTTGACAACCCAAACTTGTCCTAGCAGGACGAGAGAATCTCCTGAAAAATGCACTACTTAAATCTTGAGTTAACTATTCTCAGTAGTTTGAAAAAGCTAAGCCTAGAGCAGTTTGTCTAGCAATTCCAAACTAAGTGAAATAGGAGGGTTACTTAAAGTCACTATCAACAGTCTATTCAGAGTAAAGGAACCTCAAGCAATGACAGGCTTCCCAAGATGTCCTGTCAAGAGGCTGTTGTTAAGATCACAAGAAATAAAAAAGACATGTCCTTGGCCCAGAATTTTCTCTTCTTGACAATAAGAGGAAAGCCCACTAATAAGATGGAGATGCTCTGCCTTTCTAGCCTCTGCTCATAGCTTTAGCATGGACCCAAAGTCCTGTGAATAAACTCCATTTTCTGAGAACTGTCACAACTTGAAAGTTCCTATAGCAGTGCTAATTTAACACTCTGACAAGTACCTCTTCATCAGGGAATATAATTCTGTAAAAAAATTTTAAATTTTAAATTTGAATCTGACTTAAAGAAAATCATATGCTCTTGAATGAATAAGTATAAAGGGGTAAAGGAGTAATTATATTAAAAATCAGAGGATGTTTTAATTATTAATGAAAATGTTTAATTAAAATACATGAAGATAACAAAATGATAAACAAAGCAATAGGTAGAAAAATATACTCTACATACATGTGAATTTACCTTTAGGTTATTTCATACCACAAGTTAAAAAGCAAGTAATTATGAATGAGAATTTTAACAATGCAATAGTTAAACAAATAGTGAAAGCTTACGTTACTAAAAATATAAGACTCTATATACATGATGTCAAATAGTAATGTGATGGTTAGTTTTGTGTGTCAATGTGGCTGGTCTACAGTGACCAGTTGTTTGGTTGTACTAGTCTAGATGTTGCTGTAAAGATATTTTTTTAGATGTGATTAAAATTTATAATCAGTTGACTTCAAGTAAATCAGATTATCCTTTTTGATGTGAGTGGACCTCATTCAACCAGTTGAAGGCCTTAAGTACAAAGACTGAGTTTTTCTTAAAAAGAAATCCTGCCTCCAGACTGCAACATAAACATTTTGCCTGAGTTTTCAACATTTGGACTAGAGATTGCAACAGCAACTCTCACTTAAATCTCCATCCTGACAGCTTGCCCTAAAAATTTCCACTTGTTAGCCCACAGGATCCTGTGAGCCAATTACTAAAAATCTCTTTCTGCCTCTCCCTCTCCCACTCCACCTCTTCCTCTTTCTCTCCTTCTCCCTCTCCCCCTTTCTCTCCGCTATTGGTTGTGTTTCTCTGGAGAACACTGACAGATGTAAGCAGACTTAAATATAAAACTACTTGGCTTCTTTATAAAAGATAGCACCAATCGGCCAGGCGCAGTGGCTCATGCCTATAATCACAGCACTTGGGGAGGCTGAGGCAGGTGGATTGCTTTGAGCTTAGGAGTTCAAGACCAGCCTGGGCAACGTGGCAAAACCCCATCTCTACAAAAAAATGCAAAAATTAGCCAGGCGTGGTGGCACGTGCCAGTGGTCCCAGCTACTCGGGAGGCTGAGGTGGGAGAATTGCTTGAGCCTGGTAGGTGGAGGTTGCAGTGAGCCAAAATTGCACCACTGCACTCCAGCCTGGGTGACAGAGTGAGACCCTGTCTCAAAAAGAAAAAAAAGTATCAATCACCCAGCTTTGTGGAAATTCCTAGATATCTGACAATATATACAAAACAATGTTCAGTTCTATTAAAAATACATTTAAAATGATTATATATATTACAGATATTTTATATATATATAGACACACACACACACGCATATATATATATATATATATCTGTGATGGTTAATATTAAGTATCAACTTGATTGGATTGGAGGATGCAAAGTATTGTTCCTGGGTGTGTTTGTGAGAGTGTTGCTAAAGGAGATTAACATTTGAGTCAGTGGACTGGGAGAGGCAGACCCACCCTCAATGTGGGTAGGTACCATCCAGTCAGCTGCCACTGTGGCTGGAATAAAGCAGGCAGGAGAAGGTGGAATGAGCCGACTTGTGAGTCTTTCAGCCTTCATCTTTCTCCTGTGCTGGGTGCTTCCTGCCCTCAAACATCAGACTCCCGCCTCTTCAGCTTTTGGAGTCTTGGATTTACACCAGTGGTTTACCAGGGGCTCTCGGGCCTCTGTTCACAGACTGATGGCTGCATTGTGGGCTTCCTGACTTTTGGGGTTTTGGGACTTGGGCTGAGCCACTGCTGGCTTCCTTGCTTCTTAACTTACAGATGGCCTATCGTGGGATTTCACCTTGTGATTGTGTGAGTAAATTATCCTTAATAAACCCCTTCCATATATGCACATATCCTAGTAGTTCTGTCCCTTTAGGGAACCCTGCCAAATACAGATTTTGGTACCAGGAGTGGTTTTAGAGGAACAGAATTTAAAGGATGGATTTCTTTAGTTGGTTTTGGGGTTTCTGGAGTTGGCTGCTTAATCTGATTAGACTCAAAAATGCTAAGGACTCTACTTCTAATAGGATGGAGAGCACTGATAGTTCTTGGCATGAACTGTTTAAAGAGTTATGCAAAATAAATGCATTGATACTCCTGATTCAATGCTCTTGAGAAACAAGGAGTTTAGTGACTGTATACGTAATACCTTCAACTATATGTGGAGAATCAAGGAATATAATAAAGTTGGTTGGTTGCTTCTAAATTCCCTGGACAAAATGATGAAAGAAAATGATGAGCTCAGGGATTCTAATTCCCAGCTCCAGAAGCCCATACTGAGCCTCAGATCGTCTAAGATTGCCCTGAGTGAGAGTCTTAACTCCTGAAGACAAAGGGCTAAATTGTGGAAAATCAGACAAAAGCTCTTATCATGCGAGTGGCTGACCTGCAATGAAAGGTGCACGCTCAGCCTCACCAGGTATCTATTGTTAAAATGAGGACATTGATTGGAAAAGAATGGGACCCTACAACTTGGAATGGGGATGTGTGGGAGGACCCTGATGAGGGATGAGGCTGGGGGCACTGAGCTCCTAAATTCTGATGAGCCTTTTTTGCCAGAGGTGGTAGCAATATCCCTTCTCGCATCCATACTGCCATCAGCCTTTCCACCTTTCAGGAGATTAACCCTGTACTGCCTGAGGCAGTTGCCAGGCAAGACAAAGCTGATTCTCCTCAGGACACATCCTCAACACTGCTGTTTGCTTCTAGACCTATAATTAGACTCAAGTCCCAGCAGGCCCCTAGAGGTAAGGTTCAGGGTGTGACCCATGAAGAAGTGCACTACACTCCAAAAGAATGGCTTGAGTTTTCTAATTTATGTAAGCAGAAATCTGGAGAACAGGTATGGGAATGGATATTAAGGGTGTGGGATAATGGTGGAAGAAACATAAAGTTGGATCGGGCTGAATTTATTGATATGGGCCCACTAAACAGGGATTCTTCATTTAATGTTGCAGCTTGGGGAGTTAAAAAAAGTTCTAATAGTTTATTTGCTTGGTTAGCTGAAACATGGATCAAACGATGGCCCACTGTGAGTGAGCTGGAAATGCCAGATGTCCCTTGGTTTAATGTAGACGAAGGGATCCAAAGGCTTAGAGAGATTGAAATGCTAGAGTGAATTCATCACTTTAGACTTACTCATTCCAACTGGGCGGATCCAGAAGACATACCCTTCACCAATACCTTGCAAAACAGATTTGTGAGGGGAGTACCTGCATCCTTGAAGTCTGCAATTGCTCCTCTCCGTATGCCAGATCTTACAGTGGGAACCACAGTCACTCAATTGGAAAACTTACATTCAATGGGAATAATTGGATCCCGAGGTGGCAGGGGCCAAGTAGTGGCACTCAACCGTCAAAGACAAGGTGGGCATAATTACCATAATGGACAGCACAGCCAAAGCAGCAATCAGAATAGTATGACTCATGTAGACCTCTAGCACTGGCTAATTAATTACGGTGTTTCTAGAAGTAAAATTGATAGGAAGCCTACAGCATTGTTACTTAATTTATATAGGCAGAAAACTTTCAGGTCGAGTGGACAAAAGACTAATTTGTATTATAAAAATAGCAAATCACAGACCCTCAATCAGTTTCCAGACTTGAACCACTTTCAGACGCAGAACTCCTTGAATAAAGAGGAGGCTGGATCCCCTTGAAGAAGGACCCCACTATACTACCAAAAATTTGTACTGTTCATCTTCTTCCCATCCTTCTCCAAGGAGAACTCTGGCTTTTTACCAGGGTAACTATGCACTGGGGAAAGGGGACTGATGAGACCTTGCAGGAACTACTGGATATTGGCTCTGAGCTGACATTGATTCCCGGGGATCCAAAACATCATTGTGGTCCTCCAGTTGAAGTAGGGGCTTATGGAGGTCAGGTAATTAATGGAATTTTAGCTCAGTTCTGACTCACAGTGGGGCCAGTGGGTCCCTGGATGAATCTTGTGGTCATTTTCCCAGTGCCAGAATGCGTAATAGGCATAGACATACTTAGCAGCTGGCAGAATCCCCACATTGGCTCCCTGACCAATAGGGTGAGGGCTATTGTGGTAGGAAAGGCCAAAAAGAAGCCATTAGAGATGCCTCTACCTAGAAAAATAGTAAATCAAAAACAATATTGCAGCCCTGGGGGGATTGCAGAGATTAGTGCCACCATGAAGGACTTAAAAGAAACAGGGATGGTGATTCCCACCACATCCCCATTCAGCTCTCTCATTTGGCCTGTGCAGAAGATAAATGGATCTTGGACAATGACAGTGAATTATCCTAGGCTTAACCAAGTGTTGACTCTAATTGCAGCTGCTGTACCATGTGTGGTTTCATAGCTCAAGCAAATTAACACATATCCTGGTACCTGGTATGCAGACATTAATTTGGCAAATGCCTTTTTCTTGATTCCTGTCCATAAGGCCCACCAGAAACAATTTGCCTTCAGTTGGCAAAGCAAGCAGTATACCTTCACTGTCCTACCTCAGGGATATATCAGCTCTCCAGCTTTATGTCATAATCTTGTTTGCAGAAATATCACTTTTCCCTTTCACAAGGTATCACACTGGCCCCTTACATTGATAACATAATGCTTATTGGACCCAATGAGTGAGAAAAAGCAAAGACACTGGACTCATTGGTGAGATATTTGCATGCGAGGGGATGGGAAATAAACCCCATTAAAATTCAGGGACCTTCTACTTCAGTGAAATTCCTAGAGGTCCAGTGCTATGGGGCCTGTGGAGATATTCCTTCTAAGGTGAAAGATAAGTTGTTGCATTTGGCCACTCCTACAACCAAGAAAAAGGCACAATGCTTAGAGGGCCTATTTGGATTTTGGAGACAACGCATTCCTCATTTGGGTGTGTTACTCTGGCCCATCTGTCGAGTAACTCGAAAGGCTGCCAGTTTTGAGTGTGGGTCTAGAATAGGAGAAGGCTCTGCAACAGGTCCAGGCTGCTGTGCAAGCTTCTCTGCCATTTGGGCCATATGACCCAGCAGATCCAATTATGCTTAAGGCGTCAGTGGCAGATAAGATGTTGTTAGGAGCCTTTGGCGGGCTCCCATAGGTGAATCACAGTAGAGACCCCTAGGATTTTGGAGCAAAGCCCTGCTATCTTCCGCAGATAACTACTTTCATTTTGAGAGAAAGCTCTTGGCCTGTAAGTGGGCTTTAGTAGAAACTGAACGTTTGACTGTGGGTCATCAAGTTAGCATGCAACCTGAAATGCCTATCATGAACTGGGTGCTTTCTGACCCATCTAGCCATAAAGTTGGGCATGCACAGAAGCATTTCATCATCAAATGGAAGTGGTATATACATGATGGGGCGCAAGCAGATCCTGAAGGCACAAGTTACATGAGGAAGTGGCTCAAATGACCATGGCCCCCACTCCTGCCATCCTGCCTTCTCTCCCCCAGCCTGCATCGATGGCCTCATGAGAAGTTCCCTATGATCAGTTGGCAGAGGAAAAGAAGACTAGGGCCTGGTTTACAGATGGTTTTGCATGATATACAGACACCACCCCAAAATGGACAGCTGTAGCACCATAGCCCCTTTCTTGGTATCCCTGAAGGATGCTGGTGAAGGGAAATCTCCCCAGTATGCAGAACTTTGAGCAATGCACCTGGCTGTACACTTTGCTTGGAAGGAGAAATGGCCAGATGTATGATAATATAGTGATTCATGGGCTGTAGCGAGTGGTTTGGGTAGATGGTCAGGGACTTGGAAGAAGCATGATTGGAAAATTGATGACAAAGAAATTTGGAGAAGAGGTATGTGGATGGACCTCTATGATTGGTCAAAAACTGAAGATATATGTATCTCATGTGAATGCTCACCAAAGGTTGACCTCAGGAGAGGAGGATTTTAATAATAAGTGAATAGGATGACTCATTCTGTGAACACCACTCAACCTTCTTCCCCAGACACCCCTGTCATCACCCAATGGGCTCATGAACAAAGTTGCCATCATGGCAGGGATGAAGGTTACACATGGGCTCAGCATCATGGACTTCCACTCACCAAGGCTGACCTGGCTACAGCCACTGCTGAGTGCCCAATGTGTCAGCAGCAGAGACCAACACTGAACCCTCGATATGGCACCATTCCTTGGAGTGGTTAGACAACTATTTGGTGGCAGGTTGATTACATTGGACTGCCTCCGTCATGGAAAGGGCAGTGATTTATCCTCATTGGAATAGACATGTACTCTGGATCTGGGTTTGCCTATCTGCAAACAAAATGCCTCTGCCAAGACTACCATCTGTGGACTTGCAGAATGTCTTATCCACCATAATTGTATTTTACACAACATTGCCTCTAACCAAGGCACTCACTTTGTGGCTAAAGAAGTGCAACAGTGGGCTCATGCTCATGGAATTCACTGGTCTTACCGTGTTCCCCATCATCCTGAAGCAGCTGGATTGATAGAGTGGTGGGATTGCCTTTTGAAGTCATAATTACGCCAATTAGGTGACAATACTTTACAGAGCTGGGGCAAAGTTCTTCAGAAGCTATGTATGCTCTGAATCAGCATCCAATATATGGCACAGTTTCTCTCATAGCCAGGATTCACGAGTCCAGGCATCAAAGGGTGGAAGTGGAAGTGGCACCACTCACCATCACCCCTAGTGATCCACTAGCAAAATTTTTGCTTCCTGTTCCCATGACATTACGTTCTGCTGGTCTACAGATCTTAGTTCCAGAGGGAGAAATGCTGCCACCAGGAGATACAAGAAGTATTCTATTAAACTGGAGGTTAGGATTGCCACCTGGTTACTCTGGGCTCCTCCTACCTCTAAGTCAACAGGCTAACAAGAGTTATAGTGTTGGCTGGGGTGATTGACTTAAACTATCAAGATGAAATCAGGTTGGGCGTGGTGGCTCACACCTGTAATTCCAGCACTTTGGGAAGCTGAGGCAGGTGGATCACCTGAGGTCAGGACTTTAAGACCAGCCTGGCCAACATGGTGAAACCCCATCTACTAAAAATACAAAAATTAGCTGGGTGCAGTGATGGGCACCTGTAATCCCAGCTACTCGGAAGGCTGAGGCAGGAGAATTACTTGAACCCAGCAGGCGGAGGTTGCAGTGAGCCAAGATCGTGCCACTGCACTCCAGCCTGGGCGACAGAGACTCCGTCTCAAAAAAGAAACAACAAACAAACAAACAAAAAAGATGAAATCAACCTACTACTCCTTAATGGAGGTAAGGAAGAGTATGTATGGAATACAGGAGACTCCATAGAGCGTTTCTTAGTTTTGCCATGCCTGTGATTAAGGTCAATGGGAAACTAACAACAGGTAGTCATAAATACAACCACGTGACCAGTTGCAGAAACGAGGACTGTAATTGTCATAAGTATTTTCTCCTTATTTTGTTAAGAATATGTTTGTGCATGTATACACTTGTACTAAGAAAGTATCTTCATTTTATTCCCTCTATTTTTCCTTTATCATGTGACATAAGATTTACTGACTTCATTTAGACATTTAAGTGTTCTTAACTTTATGTAATAACATTTAGGTTAATGATTAGAGCACTTCCGGTTGTACAAAGGATAGCTGTATTATATTAGACATAATTATAACCTTATTATTGTCTTTATTTGGAGATTATATATGATTTCAGGAGATGTGTATTTTTCAAGTAGACAAGGGGTGGACTTGTGATGGTTAATATTGTCAACTTTATTGAAGGATGCAAAGTATTGTTCCTGGGTGTGTCTGTGAGAGTATTGCCAAAGGAGAGCAGTGAACTGGGAAAAGCAGACCCACCTCAATGTGGGTGGGCAACATCCAATCGGCTGCCAGCTAGAATAAACCAGGCAGGAGAAGATGGAAGAGCCGACTTGCTGAATCTTCCAGCCTTCATCTTTCTCGTGTGCTGGATGCTTCCTGCCCTCAAACATCAGACTCCAGGTTCTTCGTCTTTTGGACTCTCGGATTTACATCAGTGGTTTACCAGGTGCTCTCAGGCCTTCAGCCACACACTGAAGGCTGAATTGTCGGCTTCCCGACTTTTGAGATTTTGAAACTTGGACTGAGCTACTGCTGGCTTCCTTGCTTCTCAACTTACAGATGGGACTTCACCTATAGATCATGTGAGTCAATTCTCCTTAATAAATTCTCATTTATACATGCATATAACCTAGTAGTTCTGTCCCTTTAGAGAGCCCTAATGCAATAGCTGAGGGAAGCTGGAGCTTGCCTTAGTTGAGAAGAAAAACATCCAGATAATTTACTCCACAGGAGTCAACAATTCAGCATTGATGATTTTGAAAACTGAATTTATTAAATATTATGTTTTTTTCCTTCAGAAAAAAGAAATGCCAGTACTGAATAATTATCTGGTTTGTAGAAATGTTGTTACCTATACTAATTTTATATGGCTTTTAAAAGATATGCTGTTAGCATCCTGTTATTTTCTGTGGGGCATATTTAAAAATAAATCTCCTAGAAGAGTGCAACTTTAATTTGCAGAACATATATTTACTTTTTAAAGGTTGAAAATTTAGTTAATTTAACTTTTTGAGTTTAATTCATTGATTTATTCCCCAACCATTGATTATGGCCATAATGTATAACATTACATGCTATCTGAAAAAACTTTCCTCAGTAACATTTTGTTTCTGAATGATGTTGATGGTATTCATAAAGGAAACTATTGGTATCTAAGGAAACTATTTGATATGTGAAAAGTCTTTAGTTCTCTAAATGTACTATAACTAAAATGATAATCCATTCTCATTAGAAAATTAAAGAGTGGAACACTTTTGATACACATATGGATTTGTAATTAAAAAATAATCTTAAGACTTTATTCTACTGCTATCCATTTTCCATACTACAGTACATTTTTTGAGTTAAAAACAAACATTAAATTTAGGTATCAGGCAAGAGTGTAGAAGATTCAGTAAAGAAGCAAAGTGATGATAAGTTATATTAAGCAATAAACTATTCCTTTATTTTAACATTTGAGAATTTCTTTTGTATATAAATGACATTAAAAGATTCTCAGAAGAAGAAAACCTAAGCTGAATGGATTAAAGGCTGTCTGCTGAGGTGCTCTCCCCGTTGGCTTCAGAAATGGATTTTCTGTCAAAAACAAAAACAAAACCAGAATAGTTAAGAGTTCAATTGATTTTCAACGGGAGGAAATAATTTAATTAATACTAAAATATTTTGATACATACGGTTAGGTATAATAAGTTGTGGAGTCCCTAAAGTAAAAATTAAAGTTAATATTATAAAATGTTATAAAACAAGAAAACATATTTCTTTGCTTTTATGGCTTTTAGAATAAGACAATCAACTAACAAAAATTAGTTTGACTTTTTAACAAGAAAATGAAACTTTCCTACTCAATCCTACAGTACTTAAAACTCTTTACGATGCTTCCTACCAACAGTGTTATGTCAACAAATATTTCTAAAACACCTCTGAGTGTTGAAGGCACAAAAGTCAAAACCAGAAAAAGCTATAAAGTAGTTAACTTTATTTTTCCCACTCTTTCATTCCCAATTCACGTCCCTGAAGAAACGTAATTTCTTCATGTTGAATTTTTTGTATGCAGAACTCATTAACAATCTCATTCATTTCTGTAATGGTCCTTACTCCAAATATTTCTCGATGTCTTTTCCACATCAAACTTTCCTCCCCAGTTTACCATTCTAATAGCATCCAGCACTTCATTAGGAAATAATCTACTTAAAAAAATAATTAATTAATTTTTTTGACCTTCTACTACGTATTCAGCATGATTCTAGCTTTGGATATAATGGTTACCAGCAAAAAATAAAATCCCTTTTATTGTGGAAAAATGAGGAGAGAAAAATCTATACTCAATTTTAAAATTAAATAAATAAATAAGATGAGTAAAAATGATAATGTCAGCGATGAATGCTACAAAATATAAACTGGGTTAAATGATAGAAAATTTGGAACTGAATTATAGTAATAGCTAAAATGTATTGAAAAATTACTTTTTGAGAGGCTCAAATAATTTTGTGTATTTAATCATATTTAATACGCTTAATCACCTCTTGAGTTAAACCATCTGACTCCAAGGTCTACATATATAACTGTTATGCTATATTGCGTATCTCTCAAATAAGAAGCCAACCAAGCTAAAATATATTTTCTGATAAAGATTGATCAACAAAAAAGAGAAAAAGTACAAGTCAAAAGTCATAGAACATAAATGAAACATAACTACACATGAAGTACATGCAAAAATATAAGAGAATTTCATTGAAATGTGGATAAAACAGAAAATTTGCTAAAGTCTTCCACAAACCCAAATATCCCATAATGATGAAAAAAATTAGTAATTAAAATTTACACATAACACACTCACACTAGAACAAAATAGCTTTATAGAGAATGTCTACTAAACATTAAAAAATTAATCAGAATCTTATACACACTGTAACCAAAATACTAAAGGCAAAATTATGTCCAAATGCCAACTTTTTAAAATGAGTCTAATACAAACTTGAAGTCAAAAATCAAGGAAAAATGCAGGAGGAAAATTATATGGCCAAGCACAATTCTAAAAATAAATGCAAAAATTTGTAAATAAAAAAAGTTAACAAGGATCTAGCCATCTCTTAAGGAAACCTCATGACCAAATTGGATTTATCACAAGAATGAAAGAATAACGTAATATTGTATTCCTGGGGCATCACTTAACTCCTGGTACCTTTCGAAATTTTACAGTGTAGCTGTGTTATATTAGAAACCCTTTGATACAGTTTGCAACATTAAGACACTAAAAGAAAAGAAGTAGCATTAGTTCAAGAGATGCAGGAAAAAATTGTTAAAGTTAACATGTATTCAAATTAAAAACTCAGCAAAATAATGAAAAATGCAGGAGGAAAATTATATGGCCAAGCACAATTCTAAAAATAAATGCAAAAAATTGTAAATAAAAAGTTAAAAAGAATCTAGCCATCTCTTAAGGAAACCTCATGACCAAATTGGATTTATCACGAGAATGAAAGAATAATGTAATATTGTATTACTGGGGCATCACTTAACTCCTGCTACCTTTTGAAATTTTACAGTGTAGCTGTGTTATATTAGAAACCGTTTGATACAGTTTACAATATTAAGACATTAAAAGGAAAGAAATAGCATTATTTCAAGAGATGCAGGAAAAAATTGTTAAAGTTAACATTTATTCAAATTAAAAACTCAGCAAAATAAGGAAAAGAGAAAACTTTTATAACCTGGCTATGAGGACCAATGAAAATAATCTAAAACAAACATACACAATGGTGAAACATTGTCTTTAAATTTAAGAATAATAGAAGGGTGTGTCTATTGTTACAGCTTATGCTCAACATTGCACTGGAGAAATGAATGAACTATCTGTTAATATTTGTGAAATAAATAATATAAAGATTAGAAGAAAGAACAAAACGCATTATTTTTAACGGAAGACATGATTTGTCATCATATAAAATCCAAGAAAATCAATAAACTGTCAGAAATAATAAGAGAGTTTGGTAAAAGTGTTAATAGACTAATATACAAAAGCATTTAAATTTTTTAAGGCAATAAAATCAATTATCAAATAAAATTCTAAAATATTTATAATAACTACAAATATATTACAAAAAAGAATATAATTTGATGTGCAAGACCTTCCTGTGGTACACGACGTGGAGATGGAAGGTGGTTATATTGATGACTCTGACCCTGTGTAGGCCTAGGCTAATGTGTGTATTCGTATTTCAATTTTTAACAAAAAGTTTAAACAGTAAAATAAAAATTGTAAGTGGAAACAAGCTTATAGACGGACATAAAGAAATAAAATACTTTGGTATAGTTATACAATATGTTTGTGTTTTAAGCTAAGTGTTACTACGAAAGAGTCAAAAAGTTCTTTTTTTTTTTTTTTTTTTTTTCCTCCTAGGAAGTTGTTGTTTAGGATCCTAATTCTAGTTTAGAGGTACATTCTAAAGGATCTTCTCCACTGCCATTTTCTAAAGCCAAGGAGAACCCCCCGCCTTTTGGGTACCCTATTTGGTTTCCACTTTGGAGGTGTATTCTAAAGTGTCTTCTCCATTACGTTTTCTCCCCAAATTAATCTCAGTTGGCTTGTCTGTGCATTTTTGTGAGAAACTTAAACTGTCATTTTTAGAGATAAATGAGAGACTTACCTCCTCAGCTCTGAAGAGAAAGGACATTTTGTTACTGCAAGCTGCAAGCTGCCCCTTGGGTGACTGGGGACTGAGTGGGAATGTCTGGGTGGTTAACCCCTTTTGACATGCAGTGGCCCTACAGGGAACCCTCAACAAAATTAGTTTTAAAAGACTCATTCAAGAAATGCATATAGAGCTGTTCACTTGGCATTTTTAGCCCTCTCAGAGGTGATAGACCTCTGAAGAGAGAAACTGAGACACATAAGAGCGTGGAAATGACTCATTGGTAAAACACTGCAGTCTCACCCAAAATCAGCACACATTGATCTGCAACACAAAAAAACCCTAGGCCACAGCTCCATTCCTCCTTTTAAGAAAAAAAAAAAAGTAGGCAACAATCTGAAGAAGAGGAAAGACAAGAATGATCCACTTTGAGGTGCCGTGTTAGTTTTAGGGTGCCTCTCTTTGCAAGTGTTTGTGCAAAATGAAAAAGTTTGAGGGCATGCCAGGTTTACTAGTACCCAAACTAGTTACATATTATGGTCTGTTTTGCACATTTTAAGCTAATAGGCAAATTACATCAAAGAAAAATTCATAGCCCAAAGGTCAATCTGCAACTCAAGAGTTCCTAAGTTCTCTACTTCTCTATTTTCTTTTCTGCCTGCTTTAAATCTGCTGTTACTTTTCTACTGAGACAAAACCCACTGTTTAGATCCAATCTTCTTCCTTTCTGTAAACCAGTGAGTTTGTATTAATATCTTATGGCTTAAGTTCTGAAATAAAAAATGGGATCTTTCTATGAGTGTGTATGTATGTGTTTATGTATTTTGTTATGGATTGTGGCCACAAGGTACCAAACTGGCTTAAAGTTAAGAGTAGTCATAAATTAAGTAAAATAATAAGCCCACATGCTTTTCAAGTTCACATGACTTAAATAAAATCTTTAATAAATAAACTGGCTTTAAAATTCTTTGTAAAGTAACATTAGAATTAGAATTGTAGCATTTTTCTTTGTTTATTGATCAAGTGGATTCATATTTATCCCTGGCAAATATTATAAGGTGTCAAAATTTTGCATAAGGGTTATAAAACTATAAAGCCAGCCCAAAACAGAATGATCTTTGCTTGTGTAATTTTTGCTAAATAAGACATTTGGTATTGTTGGTTTAATGAAAACAGCTACATACTGAATTATTGGTAAAATACTCATATAGTTAGCCTTAAGTTTATTTCTTGAGTAAACACCCACAATTCATAGGGTATAAAAATGGTTAACAGGGAAATAATTTTAAATGATGACTATCACAGTTTTTATAAATACTGTAGGTGAACTATTAAATAATGAGGTAAATGTAATAGAATAAATGTTTGTAAAAAACTTGTCTAAAGTTTGTTTGAATCTAAAGTTATATTTAACAATGTATATTCATTAACTCTCTGGGCAACATCCAACTTAAAAAATGATAGGAAAACATTTTTTTAAAAATGTATTCTTATTGAAAGGTAAATAATGTTTGTTTCATTCAAAGGTTATTTAAAAGTTATATGCAAAAGAAGGTAAAAGGAATTATGAATTATCTCTTGGCTACAGTAATCCTCTAAAGAGTATCAGGTTATAATTTTTTATGTTTTTAGTTAGTGCCCTAGTGGAATAGTTTCCTTTTTCTGTTCTAATGAATACTTTCCTTTTTCTGTTCTAACACACACATTCTTTTTTAATTGTCAAATTATTAATGTGATTTATTGCTCATGGTTTTACTTCTTCCAGGAAAACCAGAATCATGGCATTCTGAAGACAACAGATGATTTGACAAAACCTACAGATGTTCCTCATTTGGAATCCCATTGAGCCTGATCTGCTTTTCATTGCATATGCTCTGTTGCTAAAACTATACAAGCACCTTCCCTCTAGGCCCAGGGACTATTGTGCAAGAGGTGGTTGCATGAGATTACAAGGGCTGGTTTTGAGGGATATAATTAGTTCAGATCCTCTCAATGAAGGATGGGTACACAGATGCCTAAACAGCTGGTAAAACAGGGACTTTGCCTTCTGAGCTGTTATGTGGCACCTTTTAATCCATTCTAACCATAAATAATTTGCTGATTCCTGTAGAATTAAAAACAAATTATTACTGAAAGAATATAAAGATACCCATGACAAAGCCTCCTGGGTACTCCCAGTTATGAGATTTATGAAGATAATTATATATTAAAAATTTTTATCAGACACCTTGGGACACATTACTAAAGACAACAAAAAGAAATGTGGCACAACAAAAAGCTCTAAATTCCTTAGCTTAAAAGGTTTTAATAATGCTTATGTTCTGTGTAGCTAATTGCTATAAGTCTGTAACTAAAACCAAGATTACAGCAGCTCAATGTATAGAAGTTAAAGATAAGTTAATTTTGTATCTTCACCTTTGTGTTTTTGTTTGTTGGCTTTTATATTACTTAAAAAAATTTAACAGTTAATGAATGCCTGTCTATGTCCATTCCCATCTGGGCTGGAACATTTAAATTGGCTATAAGTTTTTGGATCTAGGTCCCTTGGCAATAGGGGTTCCACTGAGGGACAGGATGAACCTGGGGCAGGCAGCCATGCCACCCTGACAACACTATGCGATAAAGTAAATGTTTACTGGCCATTGATCTTGCCTATGGCAAATGTTGGCCAGAAGGGGGAGAATGTAAACCAAAACTAAAATTCTAAGCCCCCCAACCATCTGAATGGACCTCTACTTTTGGCAAGGTGCATTCCAAAGTTAACCTGAAAACTAGTTCAGGCCATGATGGGAAAGGGGAGGTCAGACATGTCTCATTATACCTTCCTCCCTTTTGTAATTCAGAAAAAGCTGACCAGCATTAACACCAATACAGATCTTAAGTCTAATAGAAGAGACTCTTTCAATCTGATAAGAAACATTTACAATCTAGTCTCTCAGAAGCCTGATATCTTGAGGTTTCATCTACTTAATAAACCCTTGGTCTCCACAACCCCTTATCTTAACCGAGGTATTCCTTTCTATTGATCGTAAGCCTTTAGACAATTACTTAACTCAACCAATTGCCAATCAGAACATCTTTGAATCTGCCTTTGACTTTTGACTTGCAAGCCCTACTTCCAGTTGTCTTGCCTTTCTGGACAGAACTAATGTACATCTTGCATGTATTGATTGATGTCTTAGTCTCCTTAAAATGTAAAAAACAAGTTGTAGGCTGACCACCTTGGACACATGTTCTCAGGGTCTCCTGAGGGCTGTCTCACAGGCCATTGGTCACTCATGTTTGCTCAGAATAAATCTCTTCAAATGTTTTACAGAGTTTGATATTTTGTTGACACATGGCTCCATTTTTTTTTCCTCTGGCCTCACTGCCCAAAATTTATACTTTTAGTCTTAAAAAGCATATTTATTTTGAGAACCAAAAAGCTGATCATGAAAGAGAAACATGTTAGTTTTAAATCATAATTACTTTGGACATTGACTGACAAATTACTTCTGAATGGGTCACTATTCTAATAACTAATAACAAGAGGTCAATGAAAGCGAGTAAAAATAAGAAGCATTTCAACCCATAGTTATTTTCAGTGCAGCAGCAAATTGAATCATGGTTGTACCTCATTCCTTTCTGCTCTTTAGCTTCAGAGGGGGAGTAATCAGTGAAGAAAGCAGGAATCATCTGAGTTTAAGTATTACAATTTATGACATGATTTATATCGTAAGATAACAACAGTCAAATCTTGTCCATAGTTTGTAAACTTGAGAAGCCAAATTTTAAAATTTAATAAATATATGGAAACTTTACTCTCTAAATGTAATTATATATATATATTTTTGCTTACTGCAGAGGTTCTTTACACATTTCTCTTCTTTTGAGCAGAGAGAGCAAGATTCTCCTCTTACGTAAGGAGGCATATTTGCAAAATTTCCTCTGTAAAAAAGAGAAACATTGATTAGCCAAATGGCTGTTAATTTCTCCAATTTTGTTCATGCATGTATGCAAGTTGTTTTAGTCATTTATTAAGTCATAAATGTTGAAAATGAAAAATAATAATGTCTCAATTTTATTTTCATTTCTTTTGTTAAAATAAGCTATTAAAACAATTCCTTACAGGATGAATCACGTGGAAGTTCTATTCTTGAATATTCTATAGAAGAATAATGAGATGTGAACCCAGTGTAATTATGCATGTGATAGTTGCAAAGTTTTTGTCATAGATAGTATGATTATTTCTTCATTTTGTACATGAAATAAGTAATATTTAAGTATGAACATAAACATGTGTTTTATGTTTTAATTTTAAAGTATAATATCATAGTCCTTATCTAGTTCTATTTGATGATGTACGACTTGACAGCTATTATGCCTGATTTTTAATAGTATAAGTCATAAATTTTTCAAAGCCTCTTTATCTTCTATCTGTGAAAGATTTAAAAATGTGTTACTTTAACTTAGAGTACACAAATAAAAACATAACAACATGAGTAGTATTCCATTAAAGAATATGCCACAATTTAGTTACATATTCTTCCATTGATGGGCATTTGGGTTGGTCAAGTTTTTGGTCACTACCAATAGGGTTGCTATGAATGTTGAAAGCATTCATACATACATCATTATAGGGACACAGATCTAACAGTGCATGAGAATACCATGGCCCTCACATTGTCCCCAGCATTTGGCATGGTCACTCTCTAGCCATTCTAATAATGGTGTAGTGGTATTTATTGTGACCTTAATTTGTATTTTTTAAATGATGAATGATGATGAGCATTTTAATGTGTGTATTTGTTACCTACATATCTTCTTTGTATTTAAAAAAAATTAAAATTGAGTTTTAAGTTTTCTTTATATTGAGTTGTGAGAGTTCTTCCTATATTCCAGGGTACATCCTTTATTTGATAATTGTTGCTGTTATTATTGTTGTTTACAGACTTTCTTCCAGGTGGCTTGTCTTTTCATTCTCTTAACAGTGTCTTTGAATAGTAGTTATTTTTAATTTTAATGACATTAAATTTATATATCATTGTTTTAATGTGGTAGTTTAAAAATCTTTGGCTATCTAAAGGTCGTAGAGGTTTTTGTTCATCTTTTCTTCTAAAGTTTTTATAGTTGTAGGTTTTACATTTAGGTCTATTGATATGGTTTGGCTCTGTGTCCCCACCCAAATCTCATCTTGAATTGTAATTCCCATGTGTTGAGGGAGGAACCTGTAAGCCCCAAGTTTAGGGAGGGAGGTGATTGGATTATGGGGGTGGTTTCCCTCATGCTGTTCTTATGATAGTGAGTGAGTTCTACTGAGATCTGATGGTTTCAAAAGTGTTTAGAAGTTCCTCCTTCTCTCTTATCTCTCCTGCTGCACTGTAAGGAAGGTTCTGGCTTCCCCTTCACCTTCTGTCATGATTGTAAGTTTCCTGAGGCCTCCCCAGTCACGTGGAACCATGAGTCAATTACATCTCTTTCCTCAGCTAAAACAGGCTGAGGTACAGCTTGGGCTGTTGCTTCAGAGGGTGCAAGCCCCAAGCCTTGGTGACTTCCATATGGTGTTGAGAGTGGCAGGAGGCAGCCAGATGCCTAGGCAGATAGGGTTGGGTTCCTGGTGAAACCCCACCTTCAAGCCAAAGACAGTTTAAAACCTGAAAGCCAAGCTACAAGTTAAATCTTTGTACTGGATTGAGAACTTGTTTTCTTGTTTGGTGCACTCTCCTCTGATTGATACCCACCCTTCACCTATTTTACATATACCTACCCTTTCCTAATTAGTTTTCTACACTGTTGTGGCCAGCTTTGAGTGGTGTCTTCACTTTAACTTTTTATTTATTTATTTTTTTTGGCATACCAACAGACCAATCAGCACACACTCTTCATTCTGAGTCCATAAAGAGCCCCAGTCCCAGCCACAAAGAGGTACTTTCCAGTCTTTGGGTAGGGGAACCATCCCCTTCCTGCCACATTTCTCTTTGTTGAGAGTTTCTCTTTTGCTTAATTAATTCTACTCCACTCACTTTCCAGTGTCTGCACACTGGAAATTCTTCCTGGTTGTGAGACAAGACCTCAGACTTATCTGAGCTAAGGGGAAGAAAGACTGCAACAGTGTTGGGCCTGTGGGTACACAGAAGTCAAGAATTGAAGATTGGAAACCTCCACCTAGATTTCAGAGGACATATGGAAATGCCTGGATATCTAGGCAGAAGTCTGCTACAGGGGCAGAGCCCTCATGGAGAACCTCTACTAGGGCAGTGTGGAAAGAAAAGGTGGGGTTGGAGACTCCACACAGAGTCCCCACTGGCACACTGCCTAGTGGAGCTGTGAGAACAGGGCCACCATTCTCCAGACCTCAGAATGGTAGATCAAATGACAACTTGCACCATGCACCAGGAAAAGCCACAAGCTCTCAATATCAGCCTGTGAAGGAGCTGCCTAAGGCCATGGGAACCCACCTCTCCCATCAGCATGCCCCCGATATGAGACATGGCGCCAAAGGAGATTATTTCAGAGATTTAAGATTTAATGACTGCCCCACTGGATTTTGGACTTGTGCAGGGCCTATAGCCCCTTTGTTTTGGCCAATTTCTCTCATTTGGAATGGGAGCATTTACCCAATGCCTGTATCCCCATTGTATCTAGGAAGGAACTAACTTGTTTTTGATTTTACAGGCTTATAGGCAGAAGGGACTTGCCTTTTCTCAGATGAGACTTTGGATTATGGACTTTGAGTTAATGCTGAAATCATTTAAAATTTTGGGGGACTGTTGCGTAGGCATGATTGGTTGGGAAATGTAAAAAGACAAGAGATTTGGATGGGCTGGGGCAGAATGATAGGGTTTGGCTCTGTGTCCCCACCCAAACCTTATCTCGAATTGTAATTCTTATGTGTTGAGGGAGGGAACTATAATCTCCACATGTTGAGAGAGGGAGGTGATTGGATCATGGGGGCAGTTTCCCCCATGCTGTTCTCATGATAGTGAGTGAGTTCTCATGAGATCTGATGGTTTTAAAGATGTTTTGAAGTTCCTCCTTTTCTTTCTCTTGCTGCACTGTGAAGAAGGTGCTTGTTTCCCCTTTGCCTTATGCCATCATTGTAAGTTTCTGAGGCCTCCCTAGCTATGTGGAACTGTAGTCAATTAAACCTATTTCCTTTATAAATGACCCAGTCTTGGGTATTTCTTTATAGCAGTGTGAAAATGAACAAATACATCAACGATCCATTTTGAGTTAATTTTTGTAGTTGTATAGATCCAGGTTACTTTATGGATAACTAATTGTTCCAGTATGATTTATTAATTTTTTTTCCACTGAAATACCTTTGTGCATTTCTGAAAAATTAGTTGAAAATAATGTGGTCAACAATGTGTGAGTCTATTTCTGATCTCTGTATTCTATTTCACTAATCTATTTGTCTAACTTTATGCAAATACCACAATGTTGGGAATATTTTACAGTTTTAATAACTTTTGAAAACCATATTATTAGCACTTGAAAACAATAGTATTAGTCCTTTAAATTTATTCTATTTCAAGTTGTTTTGGTTATTCAAAATTTTTGCACTTCCACATGAATTTTCTGATCAACTTGTCAATTTATACAATAAAATCCTGGTGGAATTTTTACTGGGATTGTCTTGAATTCATAGATCAATTCAGCAAAAAAAAAAAAAAAAAAAAAAAAAAAAAAGACAACAATGCTGAGTCTTCTAACTCATGAACAACTGAACAACATATATGTCGCTATTGTGTCTTTGTTAGTTTCTCTCATGATATTATGTAGTTTTCAGTACATGTCTCTTTCTTTTGCCAGATCTATTCCTAGATAATTTATATTTTTTGATGCTATTATAAATGATGTTATTTTCATTCAATTTCTGGTTAAGTGTTAGTATACAGACATGTAATTAATTTTTGTATACTAATTTTGTATCCTAAAAGATTGCTAAACTTATTTGTTTTAGATGAGTTTTGGTAGATTCCAGTGGATTTTCTATACAGTAGCAATCAGCACAGTGTGGCCCAGAGGCCAAATCTGTCCTATGGTCTGTTTTTCTATATTTTTATGTTCTATCTTTTTTATGCAGTCTTTAATAATATATTATATATTTATCTGTTTTATGCAGTCTGTACTAATATAATATATAATTATATGTAATATATATAATTATATATTATATATGTTTAAACCATATATAATATATTATATATTGTTATATATTATATATATTTAAACATATATAATATATTATATATTGTTATATATTATATATATTTAAACATATATAATATATTATATATATTTAAACCATATATATAATATATTATATATATGGTTTAAAAAAGCAAAACAAAAAGAAACACAAATATGTAACAAAATGTGTATGTGGCATGCAAAGTCTAACATATTTACTGTCTGGTATGTTACATACAATTTTTTTTTACTATTAGGCATAATGTTAGTGGTCAGTTTTTCATAGGTGTTCTTTGTTGGATTTGTGACATTCCCTTCTATTTTTAGCTTGTTAGGAGCCTTCATCAGGAATGAATGTTTGGCTTTTTCTGAATCTATTGAGATAATCATATAATTCTTATTTTCAGGTTGATTAACTGATTCATTTTAGAATGTAAAATGAGACCTGCATTCCTGGAATATACCCCTCTTAGATAAAGTGTATTATGCTTTTAAAATATTGTTGGATTCAATAGCTAAATTTTGTTTAGATTTTTTTGTACCTATGTTTGTGAGGGATATTGCTCTATACTTTTCTCTTTATTTCTCCTGTGTAATTTTTGTCTTTTGAACAATTCTCTCATTTCATCCAAGTGGTAAAATTTATTGGCATAAATGTTATTATTATTTTCTTATTTTACTTTTAATATTTGTAAAATCTGTAGTGTTATCACCTATGTTCTCATATTATTTTTATCTTTTTTTGATCAGTATGGTTTGCAGATGATAAATTTTATTAATAAAATGTTAATCTTTAGTTTTCATCGATGTTTTTAACTGTTTTTCTGTTTGTTATTTTATTTATGTATGCTTTTA
This sequence comes from Homo sapiens, assembly GCF_000001405.40. Classification (NCBI taxonomy): domain Eukaryota; kingdom Metazoa; phylum Chordata; class Mammalia; order Primates; family Hominidae; genus Homo; species Homo sapiens. Next base: position 75,357,998 of record NC_000012.12, on the reverse strand, counting down.
TTTTTGTTATTACTTTTTTTTTTTTACTTTAGATTTACTTTTGTCTTTTTTGTCCCCTAGTTTCTTAGGTGGAAGGCAAGGTCATTGACTGGAGACTGTTCTTTTTTTTCTATTGTGGGCCTTTGGTGCCATAAATTTTCTCATAATTACTGTTTTAATAGCATCCCGTATGTTCTTATTTTAATTTCATTCAGTTCAGCATACTTTCTAACTTCTTTTTTGAGTTATTCTTTGATTCATGAGTTATTTAGAAGTATGTTAGTATTCAAATATTGGACATTGGACATTGGACAATGGTTTTTCTGTTAATTTGTAATTTAATTTTGCTGTCATCAAACAACATACTTTGTATTATTTTAATACATTTAAATGTATCAAGATCTGTTTTATGACATAGCATGTGGTCTTTATTATTAAATATTTCATGTACACTTGAAGAAATATATATTCCTCTGTTTTGGGGTGGTATAGTCTACCATGTCCATCAGGTAAAGTTGCTTGAGAGTGTTCAACTCTATATCCCTACTTATTTTCTATCTACTTGTTTTTCCTTTTATCAAATGGGATAATTGAAATACCTAATGTTAATTATGGATTTATCTAATTCTCTTTACAGTAATATTGGATCTTATTTTACATAATTTTAATCTATGTTTTTAGCTGCTTAACATGTAGGACTCTTATGTTCTCTTGATTAATTAACCCAATTATCATTGTGAAGTGAAATTTATCTCTGATAATATTCTTTGCTCTGAAATCTACATTTTCTGATACTAATGTAAACAGTGCAGCATTTATTTATTTATTTAGCGATGGAGTCTCACACTGTTTCCCAGGCTGGAGTACAGTGGTGAAATTATAGTTCACTGCAGCTGCAAAATTCTAGGCTTTACTTATACTACCACCTCAGCCTCCTGAGTAACTGAACTACAGGCATGTGCCACCATGCCAAAGTAATTTTTTTTTTTAATTTTTCTATAGATGCAGTCTCACTCTGTTGCTAGGGCTGGTCTTGAATTTCTTGCCTCAAATGATTCTCCCACATCAGCCTCTTGAGTTGTTGGGATTACGTGTCTGCTGTTGTGCCTAGCACTGTAGCCTTCTTTGACTGATGTTAGCATGGTAAACTTTTTTCCATTCTTTTGCTTCTAGTCTATTTGTGTTTTTATATTCAAAGTGAAAAAAAGAATCCTAAAGTTTTTCATAGGCAGCATAAAGCTGGTTTTCAATTTCTTAGCCAATTGTGCAATTTCTGTTTTTTAGTTTGGGGCATTTATACCATTTAAATTTAACATTATTATTTATAGTTAGGTTTGATGCTATCATCTTATTCATTTTATTTGCTTCATCTGTTTTCTGTTTCCCTTTTCCTTTCTTTTTGCCTTTCTTTGGGTTAATTAAATATCTTTTAAAAATTCCATTTTACCTGCTTTGTTGGCTTATTTGCGATTACTCTTTGTTTTGCTTAATTTTAGCAGTTACTTTAGAATTTATAGTGTGCATCTTTTACTTATCACGATCAAGTTAGATTATCGCACTTCACATGGATTAGAAGAACTTCAAGGTGGTTCAATTTTACATATACAATATCACAATACATTTATTTTGATTAAATAATTATCTTTGAAAGAGAATTAAATAAGAAAACATCTTATATATTTATCCACAAACTTATCATCTCCAGTCATCTATAAACATATTTAATGTTTATTTTTAAAAGATTTTCTGTGTATAGAATTTTCAGTTGACAGTTTTATTTTGCTTTTGTTTTTAAAGATATTGCTTCTTTTGCATTATGTCCACTGAAAAATCTGCTGGCATCTCTTTTCTTTTTCTTTTTTTAAATTATATTTTTGTTTTTATTTTAAGTTCCAGGGTAAAAATGCAGCATGGGCAGGTTTGTGACATAGGTAAATGTGTGCCATTGTGGTTTGCTGCACAGATCAACTCATCACCCAGGTATTAAGCCCAGCATGCGTTAGCTATTTTTGCTGATGCTCTCCCTCTCCCCACCCTACCCCCAACAGGCCCCAGTGTGTGTTGTTACCCTTTGTGTGGCCAAGCGTTCCCATTGTTCAGCTCCCATTTGTAAATGAGAACATGTGGTGTTTGGTTTTTCTGTTCCTGCATTAGTTTGCTAAGAATAATAGCTTCTAGCTCCATCCATGTCCCTGCAAATGACATGATCTCATTCCTTTTTATGGCTGCATAGTATTCCATGTTGTATATGTACCACATTTTCTTTATCCAGTCTGTCATTGATGGGCATTTAGGTTGATTCCATGTCTTTGCTATTATAAATAGTGCTGCGCTGAACCTACTTGTGCATTTATCTTTGTAATAGAATAATTTATATTTTTTGGGTATATACCTAGCGATGGGATTGCTGGGTCAAATGGTATTTCTGGTTCTAGATCTTTGAGGAATTACCATAGTGTCTTCTACAATGGTTTGACTATTGTGGAGTGTACATTCCCACCAACAGTGTAAAAACGTTCCTATTTCTCCACAACCTCACCAGCATCTGTTGTTTCTGGACTTTTTAATAATTGCCATTCTGACTGGCATGAGATGGTATCTAACTGCGATTTTGATTTGCATTTCTCTAATGACCAATGATGTTGAGCTGTGTTTTATAGTTCGTTGGCTGCATAAATGTCTTATTTTGAGAAGTGTCTGTTCATGTCTTTTGCCCATTTTTGAATGATTTTTTGTTTTGTAAGTTTACTTAAGTTCCTTGTAGATTCTGGATATTAGACCTTTGTCAGATGGATAGATTGCTAAAATTTTCTCCCACTCTGTAGGTTGCTTGTTTACTCTGATGATAGTTTCTTTTGCTGTGTAGAAGTTCTTTAGTTTAATTGATCCCATTTATCCATTTTTGCTTTTGTTGCAATTGCTTTTGATGTTTTTGTCTTGAAACGTTTGCCCATGCCTATGTCCTGAATAGTATTGCCTAGATTTTCTTCTAGGGTTTTTATAGTTTTGGGTTTTATATTTAAGCCTTTAATCCATCTTGAGCTAATTTTTGTATAAGGTGTAAGGAAGTTGTGCAGTTTCAATTCTCTGCATATGGCTAGCCTGTTCTCCCAGCACCATCTATTAAATAGGGAGTCCTTTCCTCATTGCTTCTTTTTGTCAGGTTTGTTGAAGACTAGTTGATTATAGATGTGCGGTCTTATTTCTGAGTTCTCCATTCTGTTCCATTGGTCTGTGTGTCTGTTTTTGTACCAGTACCATGCTGTTTTGGTTACTGTAGCCTTGTAGTGTAGTTTGAAGTCAGGTAGTGTGATTCCTCCAGCTTTGTTCTTTTCTGCTTAGGATGTCTTGGCTACACAAACCCTTTTTTGGTTCCATATGAATTTTAAAATAGTTTTTTCTAATTCTGTGAAGAATGTCAATGAGTTTAATGGGAATAGCATTGAATCTGTAAATTACTTTGGGCAGTATGGCCATTTTCACGATATTGATTCTTACTATCCATGAACATGCAATGTTTTTTCATTTGTTTGTGCCTTCTCTGATTTCCTTGAGCAGTGGTTTGTAGTTCTCCTTGAAGAAGTCCTTCACTTTTTTTTTAGCTGTATTCCTAGGTATCTTATTCTCTTTCTAGCAATTGTGAATGGGAATTTATTCATGATTTGACTTTCTGCTTGTCTGTTGTTGGTGTACAGGAATGCTTGTGACTTTTTTTGTCTGCCAAAGTTGCTTATAAGCTTAAAAAGCTTTTGGGTTGAGATAATGGGGTTTTCTAGATATAGGATCATATCATCTGCAAACAAAGACAAAGACAATTTGACTTCCTCTTTTCCTATTTGAATACCCCCCCCCCTTTTTTTTCTCTTCCCTGATTGCTCTGGCCAGAACTTCCAATACTATGTTGAATAGAAGTGGTGAGAGAGGACATTTTTGTCTTATACTGGTTTTCAAGGGGAATGCATCCAGCTTTTGCCCATTCAGTATGACATTGGCCATGGGTTTCTCATAAATGGCTCTTATTTTTTGATGTATGCTCCTTCAATTCCTAGTTTATTGAGAGGAGTTTTTAACATAAAGGAATGATGAATTTTATTGAAGGCCTTTTGGCATCTATTGAGATAATCATATGGTTTTTGTCTTTAGTTCTGATGATATAATGAATTACATTCATTGATTTGCGTATGTTGAACCAGACTTGCATCCTGGGGATGAAGCCAACTTGATTGTGATGGATAAGCTTTTTGATGTGTTGCTGGATTTGGTTTGCCAGTATTTTATTGAGAATTTTTGCATTGATGTTCATCAGGGATATTGGCCTGAAGTTTTTTGTTGTTGTTTCTTTGCCAGGTTTTGGTATCAGGATGATGCTGGCCTCATAAAATGGTTAGGGAGGAGTCCCTCCTTTTCAGTTGTTTGGAATATTTTCAGAAGAAAGGGTATCAGCTCCTCTTTGTTCTTCTGGTAGAATTCAGCTGTAAATCTGTCTGGTCCTGTGCTGTTTTTGGTTGATAGGCTGTTCATTACTGCCTCAATTTCAGAACTTGTTATTGGTCTATTCAGGGATTCAACTTCTTCCTGGTTCAGTCTTGGGAGGGCATATGTTTACAGGAATTTATCAATTTCTTCTAGATTTTCCAAGTGATTTGCACAGAGGTGTTTATAGTATTCTCTGATGGTTGTTTGTATTTCTGTGGGGTCAGTGGTGATACCCCTTTATCATTTTTTATTGTGTCTATTTGATTCTTCTCTCTTCTTTATTATTCTATTTAGTTAGTAGTCTATCTGTTTTATTAATCTTTTCAAAAAGCCAGCTCCTGGATTCATTGATTTTTTTGAAGGGTTTTTCTTGTTTGTATCACCTTTAGTTTCACTCTGATCTTGGCTTTTTCTTGTCTTCTGCTAGCTTTGGGGTTTGTTTGCTCTTGGTTCTCTAGTTCCTTTAGTTATGATGTTAGGATGTCAATTTGGGATCTTTCTAGCTTTTTGATGTGAGCATTTAGCACTATAAATTTCCCTCTTAATACTGCTTTAGCTGCGTCCCAGAGATTCTAGTGTGTTATATCGTTGTTCTTATTAGTTTCTAAGGACTTCTTGATTTCTGCCTTAATTTAATTATTTACCCAGGAGTCATTCAAGAGCAGGTTGCTCAATTTCCATGTAGTTGTGTGGTTTTGAGTGTTTCTTAATATTGAGTTCTAATTTGATTGTATTTTGTTCTGAGAGACTGTTATGATTTCAGTTCTTTTGCATTTGCTGAGGAGTGATTTACTTCCAATTATGTGCAGTTTTAGAGTAAGTGCCTTGTGGCACTGAGAAGAATGTATATTCTGTTGTTTTGGGGTGGAGAGTTCTGCAGATAACTGTCAGGTCCACTTGATCCAGAGCTGAGTTCAACTTCAGGATATTTTTGTTAATATTCTGTCTCTGTCATCTGGCTAATATTGACAGTGGGGTGTTAAAATCTTCCACTATTATTGTGTGGGAGTCTAAGTCACTTTGTAGGTCTCTAAGAACTTGTTTTATGAATCTGGGTGCTCCTGTATTGGGTGCATATATATTTAGGACAGTTAGCTCTTCTTGTTGAATTGATTACTTTACCATTATGTAATGCCCTTCTTTGTCTTTTTTGATCTTTGTTGGTTTAAAGTTTGTTTTATCAGAAACTAGGATTTCAACCTCTGCTTTTTTCTGTTTTCCATTTGCTTGGTAAATTTTCCTCCATCCCTTTGAGTCTATGTATGTCTTTGCATGTGAGATGGGTCTCTTGAATGCAGCTCACTGATGGATGTTGGCTCTTTATCCAGCTTACCATTCTGTGCCTTTTATATGGGGCCTTTAGGCCATTTACATTTAACGTTAGTATAGTTATATGTGAATTTGATCCTGTCATCATGATGCTAGCTGGTTATTTTGCAGACTGATTTATATAGTTGCTTCATAGTGTTGTTGGTTTGTGTACTTCAGCATGTTTTTTGTAGTGACTGGTAACCATTTTTCCTTTCCATATTTAGTGCTTCCTTCAGGAGCTCTTGCAAGGCAGGCCTGGTGGTGATGAATTCCCTCAGCATTTGCTTGTCTGAAAAAAAATCTCATTTCTCCTTCGCTTATGATGTTGTTTGGCTGGATATGAAATTCTAGACTGAAAATTTTTTTCTTTAAGAATGTTAAATATTGGGCCAGCACGATGGCTCATGCCTGTAATCCCAGCACTTTGGGAGGCCAAGGAGGGTGGATCACCTGAGGTCAGGAGTTCGAGACCAGGCTGGCCAACATGGCAAAACCCCGTCTGTACTAAAAATACAAAAATTAGCTGGGTGTGGTGGGGAGCGCCTCTAATCCCAGCTACTCAGGAGGCTGAGGCAGGAGAATCACTTGAACCTGGGAGGTGGAGGTGGTAGTAAGTCAAGATCACACCAGTACACTCCACCTTGGGTGACAGAGTGGGACTCCATCTCAAAAAAAAAAAAAACAAAACAAAACAGAGTGTTAAATATTGTTCCCAATCTCTTCTGGTTTTTAGGATTTCTGCTGAGAGGTCTGCTGTTAGTCTGATGGGCTTCCCTTTGTAGGTGGCCTGGCCTTTCTCTCTGGCTGCCCTTAACATTGTCTCCTTCACTTTGACCTTGGAGAATCTGATGATTATGTGTCTTGGGGTTGATCTTCTCATGGAGTATCTTACGGGGGTTCTCTGGATTTCCTGAATTTGAATGTTGACCTTTCTTGCTAGGTTGAGGAAGTTCTCCTGGATGATATCCTGAAGTGTGTTTTCCAACTCAGTTCTTTCTCCCCATTTATTTCAGGTACCCCAATCAGTCATAGGTTCAATCTTACATAATCTCATAGTTCTCACAGGTTTTGTTTGTTCCTTTTTTCTCTAATCTTGTCTGCCTGCCTTATTTCAGCAAGATAGTCTTCAAGCTCTGATATCCTTTCTTCCACTTGGTCTGTTTGGATATTGATACTTGTGATTGCATTGTGAAGTTCTTGTGTTGTGTTTTACAGCTCCATCAGTTCATTTATGTTCCTCTCTAAACTGGTTATTCTGGTTAACAGCTCCTGTAATATTTTATCATGGTTCTTAGCTTCTTCGCAATGTGTTAGAATATACTCCTTTAGCTCAGTGAAGTTCATTATTATGCATCTTCTGAACCCTATTTTTGTCAATTCGTCCATCTCAGCCTCATCCCAGTTCTGTGCCCTTGCTGGAGATGTGTTGTGATCATTTGCAGCTGAAGAGACACTCTGGCTTTTTGAGTTTTCAGCATTTTTGCGTTGATTCTTTCTCATCTTCAAGGGTTTATCTACCTTTGATCTTTGAATCTGCTGACCTTTGGATGGGGTTTTTGTGGTCTTTTTTTATTGATGCTGTTGTTGCTTTCTGTTTGTTCTTTTAGCAGTAAGGCCCCTTTTCTGTAGGGCTGCTGTGGTTTCCTGGGGGCCTACTCCAGACCCTGTTCACCTGGGTCCCTCTGACACCTGGAAGTATCACCAGTGGAGGTGGCAGAACAGCAAAGATGGCAGCCTGATCTTTCCACTGGGCATTCTGTCCCAGAGGGGCATTGACCTGATGCCCGCCAGAATGCTCCTGTATGCAGTGCCTGGAGACCCCTGTTGGGAGATCTCACCCAGTCAGGGGAAATAGGATAAAGGACCCACTTAAATAAGCAGGAATTTCCCTTGTCCAGACTACCCAGACTCCTCAGAGCTTGCCATCAGAAAAGGATAAGATTGCAGTCCATGATACTGTGGCTGCCCCTCCTCCTAGGGGCTCCTCTCAGGGAAATCAGAGATCTGTCCATAAACCCCTGGCTGGGGGTGCTGAAAATCCCTCAGGTAGGCCCTGCCTGGCAAGAAGGAATGTGTCAGGGTCTCGCTTAAAGAAGCAGTCTGGCCACAAACTGTCACAGTGGCTGTGCTGTGCTGTGGGGAATTTCTCCTGGTCCAAACCAGTCAGTCTTGCTGGCACCAGCAGCAGGGGAAAATGGCCAACTGGAGCCACAGTGGTGGTGGGCACCCCTCCCTCCCGGGACCCGGTCTTCTTAGGCAGTCTCCAGCCTGCCCCGCTGGCCAGCAGGGAGTCCAATGTAAGGAAATCAATTTCCACTAAAAGTTGTATTGCAGCTGATACACTTTTTATCTTTTTGGATATTTTTTCCTCTATGGATTCTATCTTGGATAATTTTTTTCTTTTCTTTTTTTAAAGAGATAGGGTCTTGCTCTGTTTCTCAAGGCAATCATGGCTCACTGCAGTCTTGAACTCCTGAATCACTGTCTTGGATAATTTCTAATGTTATGATTTTGAATTCATTAATCTTTTTTTCTGGAATGTCTAATATTTCATTAATTTTAACTTCTAAAAAATCTCAGACATTGTAGTCCTCTGTTTTTAATATTTTTCATATCTTTGCTTAACATTTAAAAATATAGAGTACAGTTATAATAACCATTTTAATGTCTTTCTCTTTTAATTATAACATCTGTGTAAGTTCTGCATTCATTTCAACTTATTGATTCAGCTTCTTCTTATGTCTTATTTTTTTCCTTCTTTATATGGCTGGTAATATTTCATTAGATGCCAGACATTGTAAGTGTTAGGTGCTGGGTATTGTGTATTTCTGTAAACCTCCTTGAGTTTTTTTGCTGTTGTTGTTGTTAAAGTTATGTTGTTCTTTTCTTAAAATTCTGTGCTTTTATAATCATTTTCAATCATTTCTTATGTGGGATACAGTCAAATTACATGGGAACATTTTGATCCTTTCAGGTTTTACATTATGAATTGTTAGGTGGGTCTGGAGCAGTTTAGTTCTGCTCCCTGTGTGAGTGCCAAGAACTGTGTCCTCTTATTCTTTCAGATGCTTCTTAACCTGGCCTGAAGTTGTTTCCTCACGTGCATGTGTTAATCAATACTCTAGGAATATTATTTGCAGATTTCTAGGGTTCTCTCTGTGTGTAGTTCTCTTTTCTCTGGTACTCTTTTCCGTGAACTCTAGCTGTATTGGTATTCCTATACTTTTAGCTCCATTTCTTCAACCCAGGGAGCCAGCCAACCTCTGTCTTAGTAATTTCATATTCCATGACCTGAACACTCTCACTGAGACAGGAAGCTGGGGGAATTATAGGGCTAACTTTTTTTTGTTGTTATTTTTCAGAGATCACGGCCCTTTGTTGTATTATAGCCAGTGTCTTTAAAACCATTGCTTCATGTGCTTCATCTGTTTTGCTTTTTATGGCTTTTGTTTCAAGTGACAGGGTATATTGGTCCCTACCACTTGGCCAGGGGTGACATAACACTATTCTCGTATGCTTTCACAAGACCCATAAGAAATCTGTTACGTACATAATTTGTTTGGACCCCAAAACCTGACTTATTCAAAGCAGTATGATGCTTAACTGCTTTTTCATCAAATCTTGAGCCTTCATCCCCTATTATTATTCTCTTTCCATTTCAAATCTTGTGATTAGTCTCCTTAAGAGAAAAGATGATAATAAATGTGTCAGTAGTTTTATAATTTCTCTGAATCTATAAAAACTCTACTTTTCCCAAGCTATAAAAATTTGTATTTTTCATTCTTGTTTTTGCTTCCAAGTGAAAGGTCATGGAAGAAAATACAGAGAGATATATACACATTTCTGCCTCTCTCTAGTACTTTTGGCATATCTCAGCTCCTTTTCATCAGTTTTGCATATTTATTCTTTGTCTTTGTTTTTATCTTTTCTACTGCTTATTTTTAAATTGATGTTTGTTGAAGAGCTGGGTTATTAACTGTTTTTATAGTCTTCCTAGTATAGATTCACCAGGATTAGAGGACTAGAATTTCATTTTTGGAGTTTCCCTTTAAGCTTATGCTATATTTTCATTTAGATATGCAATTATCAGCAAGACAATTAAAGTTATGTTGTTCTTTTCTTAAAAGTATGTTCTTTTACAATCATTCTCAATCATTTTCTTATTCCACTTATTTTATATTATATTAGAGAAGCATCTGCCAGCCTTTTTGTGTTTCAGTATTTATATATTACTGTGGCAACATATTTTATATTATCTCTTTTTTTAAACCTATCAGTCTCCATCATTTTCTCTCTCAAGTTTAAATATCTTATAATAGGTATAATTTTTCTTTAAGTAAGGCAATATTCTGTCACCATCTTCTATTTTCACCTATCTCATTTGATTAGCATTGTAGAGGGAGTCATTACTTATCAAAAATACACTTGTGTCTAGTATAAGGTCCTCTTATTTGGCAACCATCATCAACATTAATTTCAATTAAAATATTTTTAAGAGAAAATAACTCACGCAGGTCCGTAGTTGCATACAAATATTGCAGTTGAAGCTCCCCCAAGGTTAGGACACATTGCAACTGCACAACCGACATAAAATGAATTGGCCCAAACTAACTATAAAGAAAAGGAATGTCAAGATAAAATATGGAAAACAATTCTATGCAAACAATGCATTTAGAGAATTGGTATAATCTTTGTCATGCTACAAAAAATAATGTACATAAATATTTATTAGTTACATATTTTTTCTAATGTTTATATTTATATTAAAATTCTTATATTGTCATGGCTGATTTTATGAGAGCTACCAAGCTAGTTTTTCCTTACTGGTAATTCTTATAAATCAAAAGGATAATATAATATATAACCAAATTCATAATATACAGCCAAAATAATTTCTTCTAGATTATTTATGAAATACATTTTAATTCTATCCCTGGGAATATCATACAAACAATATGAAAATCAGACTATAAATGAAAACAATAACTTACATTTATTTGTTTTTCTCAGAAAAATTTTACAAATTACATCTTAAATTTTGCAATCTTAACCATATTCTTACCTTTGTCAAGTCACAAGACATAGGTAGGAATGAAAAACATATTGAGTTGATTTTCAAAGATGCCTGCTGTAAGGATGGTGAATTTTTATTTTTATCTAGTTGCAAAGAATAGCAAAGTTATTCAAAAGGAAGAAGACTTCTATGGAAAACTAGTTATAGGAGATAGGTAAAGAGGTGAGGAACATTACTAGTTTTTGTGACAATGATAGAATAAAATTTTTTCATTTTCCAAATAAACAAAAAAGGGAAAAAAATACTGGTTTACTCCATTTGAAAAATAATTCAAGGAATTTAGACACAGAATAAATTTTAACAACACAAATTTCTGATCTCATTTATTTTACAACTTTATTAGCAAAATGTACTAAGCTATTTCGTAAATTGATGTATCAATTGTTTTCTATAGCCTTGTCCTAGCCAGAGTCAATAGTTTTGCAAAATATATTTTACCAGCAAAAAAAATATTTACCAGCAAAAGTGCAAGAAAAATCAAAGTGAACTGAGAACTTAAAAACGAGATTTGGGAGGCTGAGGCGGGCAGATTGCGAGGTCAGGAGTTCGAGGTCAGCCTGGCCAACATGGCAAAACCCCGTTTCTACTAAAAATACAAAAACTAGCTGAGCGTGGTGGCATGTGCCTGTAATCCTAGCTACTCAGGAGGCTGAGGCAGGAGAATTGCTTGAACTCAGGAAGTGGAGGTTGCAGTGAGTTGAGATCACGCCACTGTACTCCAGTCTGGGTTACAGGGCGAGACTCCGTCTCAAAAAAAAAAAAAGAGTTTTGCTTTCAGCCATCTTTGTGGTTTTGGTGAGTAAGTGACAGATCAATTCTGAGGTAGTTTCCCACTTAATGAAATGAGATAAGGTGAGATGATTAAAAGAGCATTTTTCCTTTTGAATGTTTTAAACAATTAACCAAAAATACAACTAAAATATATATATTTCCAAAAAATCATGTTTAACAATTTGGCTTATGAATAACTAACTACATCATTAAATTTTATCTAAATTGTGACTTTTTGGGGCTTTTGGAATCGTGAGAATAAATATTCACTATGTAGGTTTACGATGTATTGCTTTCATTAAAGAAACTAGATGTAATATTAATATGAACATTGGATGTAACTCTAATATGAATATCAGTAGGTGATAAGTGCAAGAAAATTTTCCCTTATTTTGTTTAGAACATTAAGCAAGATATAGTTGTTGATTTTATAAGAATATAACCATTCCTAATTACTTAACCTTGTGTGTAAACTAGCCAATAAAGAGTAAGCTCCCCTTTCTGATTTAGTAATACGAAGGGAGAAGGGGCATTTGAGAACCAGCTTTTTTTGTTTTGTTTGTTTTGTTTGTTTTTTTACTTTACAGCAAAAGAGAAGACAAAGGATATATAAAAGCTATGACTCAGCCTTGATATCATCTTAGGGATATTGCATCTTTTTGTTAGTCAGGACATCTGACACCTGATTCATTCTCTCAATTTTCCCTTAGTATCCAAACCATATACTTTACCAACATTTTTCCTGATGTCCTGGAGAGTGTCTAGACTTAGAACAACCTGTTGTTGAACGAAGAGTGAACATAAAGGGAACATGGAAGTTGCTATTATTTGTTCACTGCACCTCTGATAAGAACAAGTTGCTTTAAGACCCTATATATTAATTCAACTTATACAAATGGGTAAGTCTAGAGAAGAAGGTTAGCTCTTTATATTGCTTAAACAGGCTTTCCTAGGGGCTCAGTACCATGTCTAGGATTAAAGTATGGCCCAAAAGGTGAATTTTAGACACACTTACACTTCTATCTGAAATAATTTTAAAAATTGAGAAAATTATAGGAAGTAATGGTTTTCAAGACATTAGGCAACACAACATAATACCCCTGAGATTTGCAGAAAAAAAAAGATAGAAACTGTATAATTGTCCTGGTTTATTGCCTGGAGACAGTTTCTAGATTATGGCTCAGGAGAAGTTTGATACACTCTCATAGTTATGAGAGTCTGATTGAGAGTCTTGGGGAGACCATGGACACAGAAGTTTAGATGGCATAGTACTGAAGAGGTGAGAATTGTACAGTGACACACTAGGACAATGTGCAGAGGGTCCTCATCATCTATTCAGCAAAGTACTAATCAAAACATGTATGTGAAGAAACTAGTCTGACCCATTTACAAGAACTAGAGGAGATAATACCACGGTTTACACAAAGCCAGAAATTGGACCTATTCTCACTTTCCAAACTGGACAACTTCATAATTCTCAGGGTATTAGTTAGAGTGTGCAGAAGAATCTTGCCTCTGTAGTGAGAGATCATTATCAGCTCTGGACTAAACGCTACTTTTATTCTACCTAACATATTTTAAAAGCAGGAACAAAGAGGATCAAATAAATTGCAGGTAACTTAGCTGTACCCAAAAAGACAGCTCAAGAATATTTATAGTATACAGATGAACCCAGCACTCAACAAGGCAAAATGTACAAATTGCGAATATAATAAAATTTACCCAACATGATATGATGGAAGAAAATTCGATTCATAATGAAGAGAAAAATCAATCTATTGAAACTAACACAGAGCTAACATAGATACTAGAGCTAGCAGGGAAAATATTAATTATTGCAACTCTATCTCATATGCTTAAAAAGCTAGATGAAAGAGAAAACATATTAGGTATATTCATTGAAGATGTAAAAATATTAAATTTGTAGAGATACAAACTTTAAGGTGCAAGATTGAAAACAAACTGAATGGGATTAACAGGAGACTAAACATTACAGAAGGCTAGATTAGCAAACTTAAAGATGTAGCAATAAAATTACTTGAAATTAATCACAGAGAGAAGAAAACCAAGAAAAAAGACAAGAGCATCAGTTTATGTGGGAAGAACTTCAAGTGGCTTTCTACATGAGTAACTTGAAGAGAACTTCCCACTTCCAGGGAAGGGAAGAGAGAGAGTGAGAGAAAGAAGTATTTCCAGAAACAATGGCCAACATTCTTCTAAATTTGATTTAAGTTATAGACTTACAACTTCAAAAAGGCCAGTGAACTGCAGCACAAGAAACATACAGAAAACTTTGGTATATTATTATTAAATTGCTCAAGACCTATGATAAAGGAAAAAATGTAAAGGCAGCCAGAAAAATAAAGGCACTTTACATACAGAGAAATAAATTCTGGCAATTAAAATATGCACAAATAAGAACTAATCAATAAAGATGTCAAATATTTACCTGTGTATAATGGCCACAGACTCTGGAGCATGATAGACTATCAAAATCATAAAATTGGGTTTCATTATACCAAGCCGTAATGGCATGTCTTGGTGTGAATGACTTTATTCCACCTAACCAGATATTTTCTCCAACATATTCAAAAGCTGCATAGCATTTATATGATTTATCCAAACAGTCATTATGTTCAAATTTGCACTGGTTTGCCCATGCTTTAGCCATCTTTGCTAAACCTTTATCCCAAATCTGAAAGATAAAAATAATTTAAATTGAATTGTGCATAAGTATTTGCATTAAATTATTCTAATTATTGTAATCAACTAAGTTTTGCTTAAATTTATTATTTTAATAAGATGTAGTTTTTCTTTGGTATTTATTATGTGCATAGTTAGTGATTTCTTTTTAGTTCTACTTCAGAAATACTTATTTATACTCACTCTATGACAGTTCATTGTTATATTACCTGTACTTAGCAGATGGCCTGGTACATTAGAGTCACTAAACAAATAAATCGGAATGTGATTAAAATAAGCCAGAATTCAAAGTCTAGTAATTCAGAAGGTCATGTTAATTTATTACAATTAAAGGATGAATACTCATTGATAATTAAAAAGGGCAAAAAACTAGGAATAGAAAGAAAAAATCCCCTTAATTTGATAAAGATAATCTACAAACAAACAGACAAAAATCTTATCAAATGGTGAAATACTAAAACTTTCCCTCAAGATTAGGAATGAAACAAGATATCTGCCCTTGTTATTTCTATTCATTATTGTACAAGAAGTTAGGTAGTATAATAAAATACATGAGTTGTAAATACATAAGACAAAATATATAAAATGTATAAGGATTGGGATCTATCATTATTCACAGATTACATGACTGGATACATAAAAATTTAAATTAATACATAAACAATACTATAAAAATAAATGAAGTTATCAAAGTTGAAAGATACAAGGAAAATATGCAAAATCTATTATATATCTATATATTCTACAAATGAATAGCTGCAAAACATTCAATATGTATAAATAAATTTAATAAGTGATATACAAGATCTCTATGCTGAAAACTGCAAAAACGTAACTGAAAGAAGTTGTAAAAGACTTAAATAAATGGAGAGATATAAAATGTTCATGGACCAGAATATTCTGTATTGCAAAAGAATATTGATTATGACATATAATTTTATTTCTAATCAAACTCCAAGTAGCTTTTTTGGGGTGGAAATTGATTACAAAATTTATGTGGAAATGCAATGTTCCAAGTAAAGCTCAGACAATCTTTTAAATGTAGAATAAAACTGGAGACTTTCTCTACCAGATATCAATATTTATCATAAAGCTACATTAAGATATTGTCATATTGACACAAGGGTAGACAAATAGCTCAATGGAACAGAACAGAGTCCAGAAACAACTCATCACAAAAGCAACAGTCTTAATGTAGGTATAATTGCCAAGGTTATTTTTAAACATCTTTTTATTTTTAACTAATTATAAATTCACAAGAAGTTACAAAAATAATACACAGGGGTCCTGTGTAGACTTCACCTACTTTTCCCAATGGTAATGTTTTTTGTAACAATAGTATGATATCAAAATAAGAAATTGACATTGGTATTATCTACAGACCTTTTAAAGATTTCAACAGTTTTACATGCATTTATTTTTGTATATGTGTAGGTTTATGTGATTTTATCACATGTATAAATTGAAGTAATCACTCCCACAATATCTAGATACAGCACTGTTTCAACACCACAAGGATCCTTCATGCTAACCCATTAAGTCACAACCACTCACTACCCACACTATCTTTAACCCCTGGCGATCACCAATCTGTTCTTCAGTTCTGTAATTTTGTTATTTCAAGAATGTTGTATAAATAGGTGGCCAGGCGTGGTGACTCATGCCTGTAATCCCAGCACTTTGGGAGGCCAAGGCGGGTGGATCACCTGAGGTCAGGAGATCCAGCCTGGCCAACAGGGTGAAACCCCATCGCTACTAAAAATACAAAAATCAGCCAGGTGTGGGGGCGGTGCTTGTAATCCCAACTACTCAGGAGGATGA
This sequence comes from Homo sapiens, assembly GCF_000001405.40. Taxonomy (NCBI): domain Eukaryota; kingdom Metazoa; phylum Chordata; class Mammalia; order Primates; family Hominidae; genus Homo; species Homo sapiens. Next base: position 75,341,863 of record NC_000012.12, on the reverse strand, counting down.
GGAGGAGAATTGCTTGAACCTAGGAGGCGGAGGTTGCAGTGAGCCAAGACCGTGCCATTGCCCTCCAGTCTGGGTGACAGAGACTCCATCTCAAAAAAAAAAAAAAAAAAAAAAAAGAGGCCGGGCGCGGTGGCTCACGCCTTTAATCCCAACACTTTGGGCGGCCGATGCGGGCGGATCACGAGATCAGGAGATCGTGACCGTCCTGGCTAACACGGTGAAACCGCGTCTCCACTAAAAATACAAAAAATTCTGCGGGCGTGGTGGCGGGCGCCTGTAGTCTCAGTTACTCCGGAGGCTGAGGCAGGAGAATGGCGTGAACCCGGGAGGCGGAGCTTGCAGTGAGCCGAGACAGCGCCACTGCATTCCAGCCTGGGCGACACAGCGAGACTCCGTTTCAAAGAAAAAAAGAAAAAGAAAAAAAGAATGTTATATAAATAGAATCCTACTCTATGTATCCATTTTGAGATTGGCTTCTCTTCACTCAGCATAATGCCTTTGAGAGCCATGGGGATGTTACATGTGTTGATAGTTTGTTCCATTTAGTGACCAAGTCATATTCCATGGTATAGATGTACCACAGTTTAACTTTCATCTATTGATGGAAATTTGGATGTTTACAAGTTTGAGCTATTACAAACATGTATAGAGTCACTAAACTCCTGTTTCTCAAGAGCATTGAATCGGGAGTATCCATAAATATTTGTGAGCAGGTTTTTATGTAGCAATGTTTTCCTTTTTCTAGGAAAAAAGAAAAAGGAAAAAGTGCCCAGAAGTGCAATTGCAAGTCTAAGTCATATGTAAGTGTATGTTTAGGTGTTCTTTTTTTTTTTGTAAGAAATTGCCAAACTATTTCCTAGAGTGGCTATACCATTTTGCATTCCCACCAGAAAAGTAAGACTGATCAATTTTCTCCATATCTTCACCAGTATTTGGTATTGTCATTATTTTTTATTTTTGCTTTCCTAATTGGTGTGTCGTGATATGTCCTTGTGGTTTTAATTTGCATTTCACTAATGGCTAATGATGTTTAGCATGTTTTCATGTGCTTATTTTCCATCTGTATATCTCTGTGGCTAAATGTCAGTCTTCTGTTCATTTTCTAATTGAATTTTTTTCTTTTTTTTTTTTACTGTTGAGTTTTGAGACTTCTTTCTCTAGATAGGAGTTCTTTCTTAAATATATGGTTTGAATATATTTTCTCCTAGTTTGTAGTTTGTCCTCTCATCTTCCTAACAGGGTACTTTAGAAAGTAGAAGTTTCTTATTTTGATGAGGTCAAATTTGTTGACTTTTTAAAAATAGTTTTCGGTCTTGATAAAAATCAAAATAATTCATTATATGAGGAAGTTTCATCTAGCCCTGTCCTGAGGATTTTCTCCTGTTTTTCTTCTAATAGTTTTATTTAAATTTATGATTCATTTTGGGTTAATTTTTGCTCTTTAGGTCAAAGTTTTTTCTTTTCTTATAGGCATTAAATGGTGTTTCAACACCATTTCTTGAATAGACTATCCTTGCTCCCCTGAATTACTTTTGCATCTTTGTCAAAAATCTACGCAGAGGAAAATACGTCGTTTTTTGAAAAAGACACTAGCACACACATGTTTATAGCAGCACAATTTGCAGTTCTAAAAATATGGAAACGGTCTAAATGCCCATCAACCAATAAGTTAATAAAGAAAATGTGGTATGTATATATATATTTATACATATATATTTTATATATATGTGTGTATAAAATATATACATATAATGGAATACGACTCAGCCATAAAAAGGAACAAAATAATGGCATTTGCAGCAACCTGGATGGAGTTGGAGACCATTATTCTAATTGAAGTAACTCAGGAATGGAAAATGAAACATTGTATGTTCTCACTTCTAAGTGGGAGCTAAGCTATGAGGACATAAGAATGATGGACTTTGGGGACTCATGGGGAAGAGTGGGAGTGGGGTGAGGGATAAAAGACTACACATTGGGCACTGCTTGGGCGATGGGTGCACCAAAATCTCAGAAATCACCAGTAAATAACTTTTCCGCTGGGAGAACTGGCTAGCCATATGCAGAAAATTGAAACTGGACCCCTTCCTTACACCTTATCCAAAAATTAGCTCAAGATGGATTAAAGACTTAAATGTAAAACCCAAAATCATAAAAACCCTAGAAGAAAAATCTAGGCAATACCATTCAGGACATAGGCACGGGCAAATATTTCATGATGAAAACATCAAAAGCAATTGCAACAAAAACAAAAATGGACAAATGGTATCTAATTAAAGAGCTTCTGTACGGCAAAAGAAAGTATCATCAGAGTGAACAGACAACCTACAGAATGGTAGAAAATTTTAGCAATCTATCCATCTGACCAAGGTCTAATATCCAGAGTCTATAAGGAGATTAAATAAATTTAAAGAACAACCCCATTAAAAAGTGGCCAAAGGACATGAACAGACACTTCTCAAAAGAAGACATACATATGGCCAAAAAAACAAATGAAAAAAAGCTCAACATCAGTTAGCATTAGAAAAATGCAATCAAAACCACAATTGGATACCATCTTAGGCCACTCAGAATGGCAATTATTAAAAAGTCCAGAAACAGGTGCTGGCAGTGTTGCGGGAAAAAAAGGAACATTTTTACATTGTTGGTGGGAGTGTAAATTAGTTTACCCATTGTGGAGGACAGTGTGGCAATTCCTCAAAGATCTAGAGTCAGAAATACCATTTGACCCAGCAATCCCATTACTGGGTATGTACCCAAAGGAATATAGATCATTCTATTATAAGCATACATGCACATGTATATTCACTGCACACTATTCACAATAGCAAAGACATAGAATCAACCCAAATGCCCATCAGTGATAGAATGGATAAAGAAAATATGTGCTACAGACACACCATGGAATACTATGCAGCCATAAAAAGGAATGAGATCAAGTCCTTTGC